>NC_000004.12:111194108-111345623 GCF_000001405.40 Homo sapiens | reverse complement strand
AGGGCCTGTCCCTGTTTCTTCTGTAAATGTCACACGAATCTGTGTACCTAAAGTTTTGTTTTTTCCCACTTTATAATAGACTAAAGAAATTTTTAGATAAAATATTCACATTTATTTTATTAATCTTTAATGTCTAACCAAACTTTACAAAACTATTTTCAGCATCACAGATTCTTATTTTCAGTTTTTGATTCATCAAATATAATTGTATAATTATACAGTTGCTACATGGTAAAATGCTAACTTTCTTTAGTTTTCATAGATTATTTTAGTAAGAAGGTAAAGTTTTAAAGACTCAGTAAGACAATTATTTTTATAAAAGTAGATATAATAATTTCTTACTGAAATTATGTTTTTGTAATCATCTAATAGCTACTATTTTTAACAGATTATATCCCAGATGCTGTACTGTGTGTTTTATACTGATCTTATTTAATTCTTATAATAAACCTGGAAAGTATTATCATAGAAATAAAAATATTCTAATATTTTAAAGAGACAGATTAACATGTCCTCATATAGAGTTTATATATGACAAATTATGACAAATTCACTATATTTATTTATTTATAAGTGAATAAACCAAATTTTATTTGTGTATTTCTTTTAGAAAGAAGAAACCATAAATAAATAAAACATTATAATTGCTATCACTTACTATTAAATGACTAGTCAGATATACTGTTAATTCATTTAATAGCCTTTTTTTTTTTTTTTTTTTTTTTTTCCGAGACAGATTCTCGCTCTGTTGCCCAGGCTGGAGTGCAGTGGTGCGATCTCGGCTCACTGCAAGCTCCGCCTCCCGGGTCACGCCATTCTCCTGCCTCAGCCTCCTGAGTAGCTGGGACTACAGGCACCCGTCACCACTCCCAGCTAATTTTGCTTTTGTATTTTTAGTAGAGACGGGGTTTCACTGTGTTAGCCAGGATGGTCTAATAGCATTTTTAAAAACTTAAATGAATCATTACCTTCTTTAGAGACGGCTCTAATCATAAGTTTATTTATTTATTTATTTTTTGGCCACAATGAACCTAATGTCTATAATAAAGGGGATAGGTTTTCCAATTTTAAGAGTTATCATCAACCCCAGGGAAAAATTCTTGGAGTTAGGTGACTTTTTAAACTTTAAACCCTTGAAATAAATACAAAGAATATGGTAGTACCCCTTTTCCTGAACTGCTGAACTACCAAACCTGTCCTATATGATATGTAAACAATTTTTTGAGTAAACACACATTTGTGTATGTGTAAATACATATTCTCCACTGAATCAGCACATCTACCACTTCTGATTGTTGGAAGGGAAAGCTTTCGCATTTTGAACTCAGTTCCACCTGTTTGTGTATGAAGGTGCCTGGAGTGATAAATCCAGGACTTAAGAGGCACATGCAGATGGTAGACCTTCAAATTCAAGTCCTAGGAGTACAGAGGATAGAAAAGAGATCTGCTTTTCTGCTTGTGTTGGCAGTTGTTCAGTTGGGCTGTACAGGAGGAGGTTCCCATTGAATCTCCTTGTCTATTCTGCACACAGGTAGTAGCTTCTGTTTATCTAAAACTAAAGGTCAGATGGATTTTGTATAGCAATGTTTTCATTCTCTGGTGGAGAATTATGCACTTGTACTTTTAGGAACTTACACTATGTAAGAGTTTTCATCTATGAAAATTTATATTCAGCATAACAAGTAATAGGAATTCAGGAGTAATGATTAACTCAAATGATTAGGTTAAGGTGTGTGTTCTTTAAATAATATGTTTATCCCTGATAAAATGGCTGTGTTATCACTATTTGCACTTGGAAATTAATTGAATAAATATACTAGTTATAGTGATAGTATACTGTAGGCAAATCTACCCAAATGCATAAAAAATTTTAACAGTACTAACAAGACATTTAAAGCTCATGTAATAATGCAATCTGAATGTCCAACCCAGTCCTCTCCTCTACAACCTGGGGTTGTCCTTGTCATCTTCTTCTGAATATTTCCAAATTACTTTATATTAATATGTCTTAAAATAACCTCATCAACTCTACTGACCTTCCCTTCAGGTCATCTAGAAGTAGAACTTTTTAATTCTCTGAAGAACCAGCCAGGAGACCCCTTTATATTCAGTACAGATGAGGCAACCACTTTTCTGGGAATAAATTATAATAGAACACAGATGTTCTGATTTTATTTGGTTTGGTTTGGTTGGGATTGCTCCTCTGGTTGTTTCTTAGAAAGTTCCTGAAGTTTTAAAGGGTTTTTAAACTATCTGCCTAGGAGTTTCAAATCACTGAAGAATCAGTTGTGGCTTTTTAACTAAAGCCAAGAAACAGTTATTGAGCACTTGTAAATGCTACAAAAAAAGTGCTTACAGTACCAAAATGATTAAGAAAGTTACTGCTTACAAGGAGTTTTTAGTCTATCCAAGCAGCCCAATCTATAAGCAAGAAATTGCTTTAATGTAGCTGTAAGGTGCCATGGACGAGGATAAGGATGACTTCTGAATCAGATATTGTGGATAATAAACAAACTCACCCTTATGAATATATTAAGATAAGTAGGTCCTAAATGGGTTGTAATTTATTTAGACACCTAACAAGTAGACTTATCTAAAAATAGGTTATATATTATCTATTTAATTCTATACTTAGCATTTTTCAGTTTTCACTTTTTTTTAATTTAATTTAATTTAATTTTTTTTTTTATTATACTTTAAGTTTTAGGGTACATGTGCACATTGTGTAGGTTAGTTACATATGTATACCTGTGCCATGCTGGTGCGCTACACCCACTAACTCGTCATCCAGCATTAGGTATATCTCCCAATGCTATCTCTCCCCGCTCCTCCCACCCCACAACAGTCCCCAGGGTGTGATATTCCCCTTCCTGTGTCCATGTGATCTCATTGTTCAATTCCCACCTATGAGTGAGAATATGCGGTGTTTGGTTTTTTGTTCTTGCAATAGTTTACTGAGAATGATGATTTCCAATTTCATCCATGTCCCTACAAAGGACATGAACTCATCATTTTTTATGGCTGCATAGTATTCCATGGTGTATATGTGCCACATTTTCTTAATCCAGTCTATCATTGTTGGACATTTGGGTTGGTTCCAAGTCTTTGCTATTGTGAATAATGCCACAATAAACATACGTGTGCATGTGTCTTTATAGCAGCATGATTTATAGTCCTTTGGGTATTTACCTAGTAATGGGATGGCTGGGTCAAATGGTATTTCTAGTTCTAGATCCCTGAGGAATCGCCACACTGACTTCCACAATGGTTGAACTAGTTTACAGTCCCACCAACAGTGTAAAAGTGTTCCTATTTCTCCACATCCTCTCCAGCACCTGTTGTTTCCTGACTTTTGAATGATTGCCATTCTAACTGGTGTGAGATGGTATCTCATTGTGGTTTTGATTTGCATTTCTCTGATGGCCAGTGATGATGAGCATTTTTTCATGTGTTTTTTGGCTGCATAAATGTCTTCTTTTGGGAAGTGTCTGTTCATGTCCTTTGCCCACTTTTTGATGGGGTTGTCTGTTTTTTTCTTGTAAATTTGTTTGAGTTCATTGTAGATTCTGGATATTAGCCCTTTGTCAGATGAGTAGGTAGCGAAAATTTTCTCCCATTCTGTAGGTTGCCTGTTCACTCTGATGGTAGTTTCTTTTGCTGTGCAGAAGCTCTTTAGTTTAATTAGATCCCATTTGTCCATTTTGTCTTTTGTTGCCATTGGTTTTGGTGTTTTAGACATGAAGTCCTTGCCCATGCCTGTGTCCTAAATGGTAATGCCTAGGTTATCTTCTAGGGTTTTTATGGTTTTAGGTCTAACGTTTAAGTCTTTAATCCATCTTGAATTGATTTTTGTATAAGGTGTAAGGAAGGGATCCAGTTTCAGCTTTGTACATATGGCTAGCCAGTTTTCCCAGCACCATTTATTAAATAGGGAATCCTTTCCCCATTGCTTGTTTTTCTCAGGTTTGTCAAAGATCAGATAGTTGTAGATATGCGGCATTATTTCTGAGGGCTCTGTTCTGTTCCATTGATCTATATCTCTGTTTTGGTACCAGTACCATGCTGTTTTGGTTACTGTAGCCTTGTAGTATAGTTTGAAGTCAGGTAGTGTGATGCCTCCAGCTTTGTTCTTTTGGCTTAGGATTGACTTGGCGATGCGGGCTCTTTTTTGGTTCCATATGAACTTTAAAGTAGTTTTTTCCAATTCTGTGAAGAAAGTCATTGGTAGCTTGATGGGGATGGCATTGAATCTGTAAATTACCTTTGGCAGTATGGCCATTTTCACGATATTGATTCTTCCTACCCATGAGCATGGAATGTTCTTCCATTTGTTTGTATCCTCTTTTATTTCCTTGAGCAGTGGTTTGTAGTTCTCCTGGAAGAGGTCCTTCACATCCCTTGTAAGTTGGATTCCTAGGTATTTTATTCTCTTTGAAGCAATTGTGAATGGGATTTCCCTCATGATTTGGCTCTGTTTGTCTGTTGTTGGTGTATAAGAATGCTTGTGATTTTTGTACATTGATTTTGTATCCTGAGACTTTGCTGAAGTTGCTTATCAGCTTAAGGAGATTTTGGGCTGAGACAGTGGGGTTTTCTAGATACACAATCATGTCATCTGCAAACAGGGACAATTTGACTTCCTCGTTTCCTAATTGAATACCCATTATTTCCTTCTCCTGCCTAATTGCCCTGGCCAGAACTTCCAACACTATGTTGAATAGGAGTGGTGAGAGAGGGCATCCCTGTCTTGTGCCAGTTTTCAAAGGGAATGCTTCCAGTTTTTGCCCATTCAGTATGATGTTGGCTGTGGGTTTGTCATAGATAGCTCTTATTATTTTGAAATACGTCCCATCAATACCTAATTTATTGAGAGTTTTTAGCATGAAGGGTTGTTGAATTTTGTCAAAGGCTTTTTCTGCATCTATTGAGAGAATCATGTGGTTTTTGTCTTTGGCTCTGTTTATATGCTGGATTACATTTATTGATTTGCGTATGTTGAACCAGCCTTGCATCCCAGGGATGAAGCCCACTGATCATGGTGGATAAGCTTTTTGATGTGCTGCTGGATTCGTTTTGCCAGTATTTTATTGAGGATTTTTGCATCAATGTTCATCAAGGATATTGGTCTAAAATTCTCTTTTTTGGTTGTGTCTCTGTCCGGCCTTGGTATCAGAATGATGCTGGCCTCATAAAATGAGTTAGGGAGGATTCCCTCTTTTTCTATTGATTGGAATTGTTTCAGAAGGAATGGTACCAGCTCCTCCTTGTACCGCTGGTAGAATTTGGCTGTGAATCCATCTGGTCCTGGACTCTTTTTGGTTGGTAAACTATTGATTATTGCCACAATTTCAGATCCTGTTATTGGTCTATTCAGAGATTCAACTTCTTCCTGGTTTAGTCTTGGGAGAGTGTATGTGTCGAGGAATTTATCCATTTCTTCTAGATTTTCTAGTTTATTTGCGTAGAGGTGTTTGTAGTATTCTCTGATGGTAGATTGTATTTCTGTGGGATTGGTGGTGATATCCCCTTTATCATTTTTTATTGCGTCTATTTGATTCTTCTCTCTTTTTTTCTTTATTAGTCTTGCTAGCAGTCTATCAATTTTGTTGATCCTTTCAAAAAACCAGCTCCTGGATTCATTAATTTTTTGAAGGGTTTTTTGTGTCTCTATTTCCTTCAGTTCTGCTCTGATTTTAGTTATTTCTTGCCTTCTGCTAGCTTTTGAATGTGTTTGCTCTTGCTTTTCTAGTTCTTTTAATTGTGATGTTAGGGTGTCAATTTTGGATCTTTCCTGCTTTCTCTTGTGGGCATTTAGTGCTATAAATTTCCCTCTACACACTGCTTTGAATGCGTCCCAGAGATTCTGGTATGTTATGTCTTTGTTCTCATTGGTTTCAAGGAACATCTTTATTTCTGCCTTCATTTCGTTATGTACCCAGTAGTCATTCAGGAGCAGGTTGTTCAGTTTCCATGTAGTTGAGCGGTTTTGAGTGAGTTTCTTAATCCTGAGTTCTAGTTTGATTGCACTGTGGTCTGAGAGATAGTTTGTTATAATTTCTGTTCTTTTACATTTGCTGAGGAGAGCTTTACTTCCAAGTATGTGGTCAATTTTGGAATAGGTGTGGTGTGGTGCTGAAAAAAATGTATATTCTGTTGATTTGGGGTGGAGAGTTCTGTAGATGTCTATTAGGTCCGCTTGGTGCAGAGCTGAGTTCAATTCCTGGGTATCCTTGTTGACTTTCTGTCTCGTTGATCTGTCTAATTTTGACAGTGGGGTGTGAAAGTCTCCCATTATTAATGTGTGGGAGTCTAAGTCTCTTTGTAGGTCACTCAGGACTTGCTTTATGAATCTGGGTGTTCCTGTATTGGGTGCATATATATTTAGGATAGTTAGCTCTTCTTGTTGAATTGATCCCTTTACCATTATGTAATGGCCTTCTTTGTCTCTTTTGATCTTTGTTGGTTTAAAGTCTGTTTTATCAGAGACTAGGATTGCAACCCCTGCCTTTTTTTGTTTTCCATTTGCTTGGTAGATCTTCCTCCATCCTTTTATTTTGAGCTTATGTGTGTCTCTGCACGTGAGATGGGTTTCCTGAGTACGGCACACTGATGGGTCTTGACTCTTTATCCAATTTGCCAGTCTGTGTCTTTTAATTGGAGCATTTAGTCCATTTACATTTAAAGTTAATATTGTTATGTGTGAATTTGATCCTGTCATTATGATGTTAGCTGGTTCTTTTGCTGGTTAGTTGATGCAGTTTCTTCCTAGTCTCGATGGTCTTTACATTTTGGCATGATTTTGCAGTGGCTGGTACTGGTTGTTCCTTTCCATGTTTAGTGCTTCCTTGGGCCTGGTGGTGACAGAATCTCTCAGCATTTGCTTGTCTGTCAAGTATTTTATTTCTCCTTCGCTTATGAAGCTTAGTTTGGCTGGATATGAAATTCTGGGTTGAAAATTCTTTTCTTTAAGAATGTTGAATATTGGCCCCCACTCTCTTCTGGCTTGCAGGGTTTCTGCCGAGAGATCCGCTGTTAGTCTGATGGGCTTCCCTTTGAGGGTAACCCGACCTTTCTCTCTGGCTGCCCTTAACATTTTTTCCTTCATTTCAACTTTGGTGAATCTGACAATTATGTGTCTTGGAGTTGCTCTTCTCGAGGAATATCTTTGTGGTGTTCTCTGTATTTCCTGAATCTGAACGTTGGCCTGCCTTGCTAGATTGGGGAAGTTCTCCTGGATAATATCCTGCAGAGTTTTTTCTAACTTGGTTCCATTCTCCCCATTGCTTTCAGGTACCCTAATCAGACGTAGATTTGGTCTTTTCACATAGTCCCATATTTCTTGGAGGCTTTCTCATTTCTTTTTATTCTTTTTTCTCTAAACTTCCCTTCTCGCTTCATTTCATTCATTTCATCTTCCATCGCTGATACCCTTTCTTCCAGTTGATCACATCAGCTCCTGAGGCTTCTGCATTCTTCACGTAGTTCTCGAGCCTTGGTTTTCAGCTCCATCAGCTCCTTTAAGCACTTCTCTGTATTGGTTATTCTAGTTATATATTCTTCTAAATTTTTTTCAAAGTTTTCAACTTCTTTGCCTTTGGTTTGAATGTCCTCCCGTAGCTCAGAGTAATTTGATCGTCTGAAGCCTTCTTCTCTCAGCTCGTCAAAGTCATTCTCCATCCAGCTTTGTTCCGTTGCTGGTGAGGAACTGCGTTCCTTTGGAGGAGGAGAGGCGCTCTATTTTTTAGAGTTTGCAGTTTTTCTGTTCTGTTTTTTCCCCATCTTTGTGGTTTTATCTACTTTTGGTCTTTGATGATGGTGATGTACAGATGGGTTTTTGGTGTGGATGTCCTTTCTGTTTGTTAGTTTTCCTTCTAACAGACAGGACCCTCAGCTGCAGGTCTGTTGGAGTACCTGGCCGTGTGAGGTGTCAGTGTGCCCTTGCTGGGGGGTGCCTCCCAGGTAGGCTGCTTGGGGGTCAGGGACCCACTTGAGGAGGCAGTCTGCCCATTCTCAGATCTCCAGCTGTGTGCTGGGAGAACCACTGCTCTCTTCAAAGCTGTCAGACAGGGACATTTAAGTCTGCAGAGGTTACTGCTGTCTTTTTGTTTGTCTGTGCCCTGCCCCCAGAGGTGGAGCCTATAGAGGCCGGCAGGCCTCCTTTAGCTGTGGTGGGCTCCACCCAGTTCGAGCTTCCCCGCTGCTTTGTTTACCTAAGCAAGCCTGGGCAATGGCGGGCGCCCCTCCCCCAGCCTGGCTGCCGCATTGCAGTTTGATCTCAGACTGCTGTGCTAGCAATCAGCGAGAGGACTCCGTGGGCGTAGGACCCTCCAAGCCAGGTGCGGGATACAATCTCGTGGTGTGCCGTTTTTTAAGCTGGTCGGAAAAGCGCAGTATTCGGGTGGGAGTGACCCGATTTTCCAGGTGCGTCAGTCACCCCTTTCTTTGACTCGGAAAGGGAACTCCCTGACCCCTTGCGCTTCCCTAGTGAGGCAATGCCTCGCCCTGCTTCGGCTCGCACAGGGTGCGCGCACCCACTGACCTGTGCCCACTGTCTGGCACTCCCAAGTGAGATGAACCTGGTACCTCAGATGGAAATGCAGAAATCACCCATCTTCTGCGTCGCTCACGCTGGGAGCTGTAGGCCGGAGCTCTTCCTATTCAGCCATCTTGGCTCCTCTCCAGTTTTCACTTTTATACTGAGAGTCAGTAATGTTTAGTTAATACTACATGGCCAGTTGCAAGGTTTGGGATTTGAATTCAGAAATCCTTCAAAATCCTAGACTTCTATAAAATATTCTGACAGTCATTCTCAATATTTTCTTCAGCACATTATGGTGTAAGATAACTATATTATTACAATGCAAAACACATTTGATTGACAATAAATTTATTCTCTGTACTCATTCAAAAACTGAAAGAGTGACAAATAATTTCCTAAGTTTAAGTGCCACTTTCCTGAGTTTAAATAAGCACTTTATTACTGTTAAGGGTTTATTATCTAAATTAAAAGGATAACTTAGGAAGTAAATATTTCAATGTTTCCTTGGTGTATATGTGTATATATGTTTCAATGAAGTTTTTTCCTGCTTTGAAGAAAATTTTGTTTATATATTTTGTCTTAGCTTGGTTCAGTTTTTTATATTTTATTTTTAATCAACTAATAACAATTGTATATATTTATGGAGTACAACATAATGCTTTAATCTATGTATACATTATTAAAAGATTCAATCAAGCAAATTAACATATCCATCACCTCACAAATTTATCATTTTTTATGTAAGAATGTTAAAAATCTATTCTTTTAGCAATTTTGAAATATAAAATATATTAACTGTGGTTACCAAGAAGTGTAATGAATCAATAAAACTTATATCTCTAGTCTGAAACTTTGTACTCTTTCATTAGCATCTTTTCTTTCTGCATCCCTTCCACGTTCCCCCATCTTCTGGTAATCACTTTTCTACTCTGCGTCTATGAGATTGACTTTTTTAGATTCCGCATATAAGGAAAATGATACAGAATTTGTCCCTCAGTGCCTGGTTTATTTCCCTTAGCATACTATCTTCCAGTTCTATTTATGTCATCATGAATGACAGAATTTTATTGTGTTTTTAAGGCTGTGTAATATTCAATTGTGTATATATACTACATTTTCTTTATTCATTCATTGATGGACACTTTGGTTGTTTTAGTATATCGGCTATTGTGAATCATGCTGAAATGAACATGTGGGTGTAGTTATCCCTTTGACATATTGATTTCAATGTCTTCAGATATATGCCCAGAAGTGGGATTGCTGCATCACATGTAATTGTATTTTTAGTTTTTTGAAGAAATTCTATACTATTTTCCAAAATGGCTATGCTAATTTCCATGCCCATCAACATTATACAAGAGTTCTTTTTTTTTCATACCCTCACTAACACTTGTTATCATCTGTCTTTTTAATAATAGCCATTCTAGCAGGTATGTGGTAAAACCACAATATCTCATTGTGGTTTTAATTAGCATTTCTCTGATGATAAGAGATGTTGAATGTTTTTAAATATATCTATTGGTGATTGTATCTTTTTTTGAGAAATGTCTGTTCAGATACTTTGCTCAATTTTTAATCAGGTTATCTTTTTCCTTGCTATTGAGTTGCTTATATATTTTGAATATTAACCCCTTATCAGATGTATGCTTTGAAAATATCTTTTCCCAGTCTACGGGTTGTCTCTTCACTATGTGTTTTTTTTTTTGACTTTACAAAATGAATGTTTTCTTTATTTTTTATTTTTTTTAATTTTATTATTATTATACTTTAAGTTTTAGGGTACATGTGCATAATGTGCAGGTTACATATGTATACATGTGCCATGCTGGTGTGCTGCACTCATTAACTCGTCATTTAGCATTAGGTATATCTCCTAATGCTATCCCTCCCCTCTCCCCCCACCCCACAACAGTCCCCAGAGTCTGATGTTCCCCTTCCTGTGTCCATGTGTTCTCATTGTTCAATTCCCACCTATGACTGAGAACATGCGGTGTTTGGTTTTTTGTTCTTGCGATAGTTTAGTTTACTGAGAATGATGGTTTCCAATTTCATCCATGACCCTACAAAGGACATGAACTCATCATTTTTTATGGCTGCATAGTATTCCATGGTGTATATGTACCACATTTTCTTAATCCAGTCTATCATTGTTGGACATTTGGGTTGGTTCCAAGTCTTTGCTATTGTGAATAGTGCCACAATAAACATACGTGTGCATGTGTCTTTATAGCAGCATGATTTATAGTCCTTTGGGTATATACCCAGTAATGGGATGGCTGGGTCAAATGGTATTTCTAGTTCTAGATCCCTGAGGAATCTCCACACTGACTTCCACAATGTTTTCTTTATCATGCAGAAACTCTTTAGTGTGATGTAATCTTATATATCTATTTTTACTTTTGTTACATTTGCTTCTGGAATACTTCTCAAGAAATCATTGCCCAGATTAATGTCATGGAGCTTTTCCCACATGTTTTCTCCTAACAGCTTTAAAATAACTAGTCTTACATTTAAGTATTTTATCCAGTTTGAGTTGATTTTTGTTTAGTTGTCCCTTGAATTCATGGGATTAAACTCATTGGATTGGTATTCATTGGATTTTTTCTAGGACTCTCTGAGCATACCAAAATCCACAGGCTGTCAAGTCCCTTTTAAAGGCATGCCTAAAAGATATTGCTGGTTTAGATCAGGCTACCACAATAAAGCAAATATCACAAATAAGTCACACAATTTTTTTGGTTCCTAGTATATATAAAAGTTATGTTTATATTATACCATAATTTATTAAGTGTACAATAGAATTAGGTTTAAAAAAGCAAAGTACATATCTAAATTTAAGAATTATTTATTGATAAAAATGCTAATGATCATTTGAGCCTTCAGCAAGTCATAATCATTTTGCTGGTGGAGGGTCTTGCTTTGATATTAATGGCTGCTGACTGACGAGGGTGGTGGTTGATGAAGGTTTGAATGGCTGTGCCAATTTCTTGAAATGAAACAAAAATGAAGTTTGTCGCATCAATTGACTCTTCCTTGCAGAAGGATTTCTCTGTAGCATGTGATGTTTGATTGCATTTTACCCATAATAAAACCTCTTTCCAAATTGGAATTAATCCTCTCAAACCCTACAGTTTGCTTTATCAACTAAATTTATGTAATATTTTAAATCCTTTGTGGTCATTTCAACAATGTTCACAGCATCTTGACCCGGAGTAGATTTGATCTCAAGAAACCACTTTCTTGCTCATCCATAGGAAACAACTCCTCATCCATTCAAGTTTTATCATGAGATTTTAGTTCAGTAACAACTTCAGTCTCCGCTTCTAAGTCTAGTTCGCTTTTAATTTCTACCACATCTGCAGTTACTTACTTCACTGAAGTCTTAAACTTCTGAAAGTAATCCATAAGAGTTGGAATAAACTTCTTCCAAACTTTTGTTAATGTTGGTATTTTGGACTCCTGACATAATCATGAATTTTCTTAATGACATCTAGAATGGTGAATACCTTCCAGAAGATTTTCAGTTTACTTAGGTCAGATTCATCAGAGAAATTACTGTCTATGGCAGCTATAGTTTACAAAATATATTTCTTAAATAAGAAGACCCGAAAGTCAAAATTACTCCTTTATCTATGGGCTACAGGATAGATGTGTTAGTAGGCATGAAAACCATATTCATCTCTTTGTACATCTCCATCAGTACTTTAGGTGACTAGGTGCATTGTCAAGCAGCATTAATATTTTGAAAGGAATCTCTTTTTCTTAGCAATAAGTCTCAATCATAAGCTTAAAATATTCAGTAAATGATGCTATAAACTAATGTACTGTCATTTAGGATTTATTGTTCCATATATAGAGCAGAGTCAGAGTAAACTTTGCATAATTAATTCTTAGGGGCTCTAGGATTTTTGAGTAAATGAGCATTGGCTTCAACTTCTAGACATCAGCTTCATTAACCCCTAAAAGAGAGTTGGCTTGTCTTTTGAAGCTTTGAAGTCAAGTATTGACTTCTCTCTACCTATGAAAATTCTAGGTGGCATCTTCTTCTAATAGAAGCCTTTTTTGTCTCCACTGAAAATCGTTCATTTGTTTTGTATATGTATTTTTTTGAGATGGAGTTTTGCTCATGTTGCCCAGGCTGGAGTGCAATGGCACAATCTCAGCTCACTGTGACCTCCACCTCCCTGGTTCAAGCGATTCTTCTGCCTCAGCCTCCCGAGTAGCTGGGATTACAGGTGTGTGCCACCATGCCCAGCTAATATTTGTATTTTTAGTAGAGACAGGGTTTTGTCATGTGAGCCAGGGTGGTCTCGAACTCCTGATCTCAGGTGATTCACCCGCCTCTGCCTCCCAAAGTGCACCTTGCCTGGCCTGTTTTGTATAAATTTAAGGGATACAAGTGCAATTTTGTTATATGGCTATATTGTCTGGTTGTGAAGTCTGGGTGTTTAGTGTATCCACTATCCAAATAATGTACATTGGACCCATCGGGTAATTCCCATCATCCACCCCTCTTCCCATCCCCACTCATCTGAGTCTCCAAGTCATACATTACATCCACATGTATACATTGTTTAGTTTGCACTTATAAGTGAGACCATACAGTATTTTTTTTCTTTCTGCTTCTGAGTTGTTTCACTTAAGATAATGGCTTCCAGTTCCATCCATGTTGCTTCAAAGACATGGTTTAATTATTTTTAATGGTCAAATATTATTCTATTGTGTGTATATGCATTGTCTTTATCCAATCCTCCTCTGATAGACACTTAGGTTGAATCCAAATCTCTGCTGTTATGAATAGTGCTGCAATAAACATATGAGTGCAGTAATCTTATTGATAGGTATAATTATTTCTTTTCCTTTGGGTAGATACCCAGCAGTGTGATTGCTAGATCAAACAGCAGCTCCATTTTTGGTTCTTTGATAAATCCTCATGTGTTTTAAATAGAGGTTATGCCAATTTATAGTCTCATCAACAGTGCACAAGCCTTCCCTTTTCTCTGCCTCCTCAACCACATTTGTTACTTTTTGTCTTTTCATATAATAGCCATTCTAACTGGTATAAGATGACATCCCACTGTGGCATTAATTTAAATTCCTCTGATGATTAACAACGTTAAGCATTTTTATATGCTTGTTAGCTATTTGTATGAAACATATCTATTGAAAATAAAAATTTGAAAATTTTCTATTTTTCAATAGATTTTTATACAAATAGCCAACAAATGTATAAAAATTATGCTGCTTTTGAAAAATATCTATTAGTATCTTCTGGCCACTCTTTAACGGGGTCATCTGTTTGTTGTTGAGTTGTTTGAGTTCCTTGTAAATTCTGGATATTAGTTTCCTGTCAGATGCATAGTTTACAAACATCCTCTCCCATTCTGTAGGCTGTCTGTTCACTCTGTTGATTGGTTCTTTTGCTGTGCAGAAGCTTCTTAATCAAGTACCATCTGACTATCTTGGTTTTTGTTGTTTTGCTTTTGAGATCCTGGTCATGAATTTTCTACCCAGACCGATGTCTAGAAGAGTCTTTCCTAGGCTTGCCTCTAGTATCTTTATAGCTAAAAATATGAAATACTTCATGAATTTGCATGCCATCATTTAGCAGGGGCTATGCTAATTTTTTCTGTATCATTCCAGTTTCAGTATGTGTGCTGCTGAATCCAACATAAAATCTGTTGTTTAATGTAGCTACTTTCATCAATAATCTTAGCTGGATTTTCTGGATAATGTGCTACGTCTTCTACATCAGCACTTGCTGCTTCATCTTGCACTTTTATGTTGTGAAGATGGCTTCTTTCCTTAAATCCCAAGAACCAACCTCTGCTAGTTTCCAACTTTTCTTCTGTAGCTTCCTCACCCCTCTCAGCTTTCATAGAATTGAAGAAAGTTAGGGTCTCACTCTGGATTCAACTTTAGTTTAAGGGAATGTTGTGGCTGGTTTGATCTACCCACACTAAGCAAACTTTCTTAATATCAGCAATAAGGCTGTTTCACTTCATCATTCCTGTGTTCACCGAAGTAGCACTTTTAATTTCCTTTAAGAACGTTTCCTTTGTACTCACAACTTGGCTAACTTGTACTCACAAGTCTAGTATAAGAGGCTTAGCTTTCAGCCTGTCTCAGCTTTTTGGCATGCCTTACTCACTAAGCTTATTTTATTTCTAGCTTTTGATTTAAATTGAGAGCTGTGCAACTTTTCCTTTCAGTTGAATACTTAGAGGCCATTGTAAGGTCATTTTTTTTTCTTTCCAACTTTTATTTTAGGCTCAGTGGGTACATGTGCAGGTTTGTTACATGGGTAAATTGCCTGTTGTGGGAGTTTGGTGTACAGATTATTTCATCACCCAGGTAGTAAGCACAGTACTCGGCAGGTAGTTTTTCAATCCTCATCCTCTTCCCACCCTCCATCCTTAAGTAGGCTCTGGGGTCTATTGTTCCTTTCTTCGTGTCATGTGCACTCAATTTTTAGCTCCCATTTATAAGTGAGAACATGTGGTTTTCTGCTGCTGTATTAGTTTGCTTAAGAAAATGCCCTCCATTTCCATCCATGTTGCAGCAACTTGTAGGGTTATGAATTGGTCTTATTTCAAAATTGTTGTGTCTTAGGGAATAAGGAGGGCTGAGGAGATGAAGAGAGATGATAGACTAGTCAGTGAGTGGAGGAGTCAAAACACACACAACATTTATTGATTAAGTTTGCTGTCTTATATAGGTGCAGTTTGTGGTGCACCAAAACAATTACAATAGTAACATTGAAGATCACTGATTACAGATCATCATAACAGATATAACAATAATGAAACTGTCTGAAATATTGTGAGAATTAACAAAATATGTCACAGAGATAGGAAATGGGCACATAATGTTGGAAAAATGGTGCCGATAGTGTTGCTCCACACAGGGTCACCACAAATCTTCAATTTGTAAAAAACAAACACAAGACAAAAAAGACCCATAATATCTACAAAGTATAATAAAGCAAAGCACAATAAAATGAGATATGCCTATATAAAATGATATAGTATTTGCATATAACTTATGCACATCCTCTTGTATAATTTAAGTCACCTCCAGATTACTTATAATACTTAATATAAAGTAAATGCCATATAAATAGTTAATATACTGTACTGTATTGTTTTTTATTTGTATTGTTTTTATTGCTTTATTGTTATTTTTATTGTTAGTTTTGTCAAATATTTTTGATCTGTGGTTGGTTGAATCCGCAGATGCAGAAGCAGTAAATATGGAGAGCAGCCTGTATATGCTGTGAGATAAGGGTCTAATTTCATTCTGTATGGGGATATCCAGTTTTCCCAGAAGTATTAATTGAAGAGACTGTCCTTTTCTCATTGTGTGTTCTTGGTACTTTTTCCAAAAGTAAAAGGATTGTAAATACATGGGGTTATTTCTGGACTTTCTACTCTCTTCCATAGGTTGATGTGTCTTTTTATACCAGTATCATGCTGTTTTGATTACAATTAGTTTCATAATATACTTTGAAATCAGAAAGTGGGATGCCTCTAGCTTTGTTCCTTTTGCTTAAGACTTCTTTTGCTATTTGGGGTATTTTTTGGTTCCATATAAATTTTAGTATTTTTTCCTCTTTTTTGGTTCCATACAAATTTGAGGATTTCTTTTCTATTTCTGTGGAAAATAACATGAAGTTTTGATAGAAATTGAATTAAATATATACATCACTTCGGGTAGTATGGACATTTTAACTATATTAATTCTTCCAATCTAGGAACATGGAATAGTTTTTCATTTATTGGTGTCCTCTTCAATTTTTCATCAATGATTTACAGTTTTCAGTGCACAGATCTCCCAATTCTTTGGTTAAATTTACTTCCTAAAATTTTATTTATGTATTATATTTCTTTATTTTGATGCAATTGTAAATGGGATTTTTTTTCTTAATTTGTTTTCTTGGATAGTTTGTTGTTAGTATATAGGGATGCTACTGATTTTTTGTGTGGTAATTTTGTAGCATGAAACTACTGAATTTGTCAGTTTTTACTTTTTTATAAAATAACAGTTTTTAATATATAAGATATGCCATTACCAAATAGAGATAATTTTACTTCTTCCCTTCTGATTTGCATGGCTTTTATTCCTTTCTCTTGCCTAATTGCTCTGGCCAGGCATTCTATTACTATGTTGGATAGATGGTGCCAGAGTAGGCATCTTTATTTTGTTCCTGACCTTAAAAGAAAAGCTTTCAGCTTTTCACCGATGAATATAATCTTTGTTTAGATAAAATTTATCAATTTTGTGTACCTTTTCAAAAACCCAGCTTTTAGGTTTATCTTTTCTATTGTTTTTCTTGTCTCTATTTAGCAGATTTCTTCTCTGATATTTGCTATTTCCTTTCTTCTGTGAAGTTTGGCCAAACTATAGTTTTCTTTTCTAGTTATTTGAGATGTAACATTAGGTTGTTTATTTGAGATCTTTTTTCTTTTTTGATGAAGGCACTTATTGCTATAAACTCCCTCTCAAGACTGCTTTTGCTGATTCTATAAGTTTTAGTGTGTTTTATTTCCATTTTCGTTTGTGTCAAGATTTTTTTTTTTTGATACAGTTACCCTGCTGTCCAGGCTGGAGGGTAGTGGTGCAGTCTGAGCTCACTGCAACCTCCACTTCCTGGGTTCAAGTGATTTTCATGACTCAGCCACCTAAGTAGCTGGGATTACATACATGTGCCACCATGCAGGCTAATTTTTTTTTTTTCTTTTTGTATTTTTAGTAGAGAGGGTTTCGCCATGTTGGCCAGGCTGGTCCTGAACTCCTGGCCTCAAGTGATCAATCTGCTGTGGCCTCCCAAAGTGCTGGGATTACAGGCATGAGCCACTGCGCCCGGCCTGTTCAAGAACATATTATTTAATTTCCATTTACTTGTGAGTTTTCCAAGATTCCTCCTGTTATTTATTTCTAGTTTTAAGCCATTGTGATCAGAAAAGATACTCAATATAATTGCAATCTCTTAAATTTGTTAAGAATTATTTTGTGGCCTAACATACGATCTATTTTGGAGAATGATCTGTGTGCAATTGAAAACGATATGCAAATCAGAGGAGCAAGGTGGCAGAATAGAAGGTTCAACCAATCGTCCTCCCTGCAAAGACATCAATTTAACAACTATCTACACAGAAAAATCACCTTCATAAGAACCATAAACCAGGTGAGCACTCATAGTACCTGGTGGTAACTTTATATCACTGAAAGAGGCATTGAAGAGGTAGAAAAAGCAGTAGTTAATCACTGACACCACCCTTTCTTCTCCCCTCAGCAGCAGTGGCAGGGTGCAGAGAGCATATCTGGACACTGGGGGAGGGAGAACACAGCAACTGTAAGGCATTGAACTCACTGCTGTCCTGTTAGAGCAGAAAGGAAAACCATACCTAACTCAGCTGATGCTGCCCATGGAGAAAGCATTTAGATCAGCCCTAACCAGAAGGGGATTCGCTGATCCCAGTAGTCCAAACTTGAATTCTCAAGAACTACAACTCATAGGCAGGTCCTAGTGCTGAACTAGGCCCAGAGACAGTGGACTGGTGCGGGGATGTGACATACTGAGACACGAGCTGGGGCAGCTAAGGGAGTGTTGGCATCACCCCTCCTCTAACCCCAGGCTGCACAGTTCACAGCTCCAAAAAAGACCCCTTCCTTATGCTTGAGTAGAGAAGAGTGGGAAGGACTTTGCTTTACATCTTGGGTATCAATTCAGCCATAGCAGGAGAGGGGCACCAATCAGAGTCATGAGATCCTCATTCCAGGATCTTGCTCCCAGATGACATTTGTAGACATGCTCTGGGCCAGAAGGGGGCCCACTGCTTTGAAAGAAAGGGCCCAGTTCTGGCAGCATTCATCATCTCCCAACAGAAGAGCCCTTGGGCCCTTAATGACCAGGAGCAATACCCAAGTACTATGTAGCAAGCCTTGGGTGACCCTCTGAGACTTACTGGCTTCAGGTACCAGTATGGCTATGCTGGGAAGAGCACCAAGGAGGCTATTGGGGTACCTGATTCTAGAATTTGACCCTTGGATGGCATTTCTGGACCTGCCCTGAACCAGAAAGGACCCCATTGCCCTGAAGTGTGAGTCCTAGGCCAGGCAGCATTCACCACAAGCTGACTCAAGAGCGGTTGTATCTCCACTTTACTAAGATCGGCTTCTGGAGATGTATTTTATTCTTTTATTTGGAATATGTTTCCCTGTTTCTTCAATTTCCTTGACTCTCTGTGTTGATTTCAGTACATGCTATGAATGAACAAGCAAGCTCTCTAAGTTTTGTTACTCTGGTCTTATGTAAGATATGTTTCTCCTCAGTCAGCACAGTCAGTGATTCTAGGTGCCTTTCAACTCTTTGTATTTGTCCAACCTGCTGCCTTTGTTATTTGTAGCCCCAGAGAAATTAAAAAGTGTCAAGTCATGTTATTGCCTTGAGAGAGGTAGGATAGAAGCCAGTCCTTTGGGATAAAGCAGGAAAGGTTGGGGTGTTTGTTTGTTAGATTTATGTTAGATTTATCCTTCTTTCTTTGCAGAAAAGCTGAGAACCAAAATTAACCTTCCACTCATTTTGCTCTACACCAAGAAGAGGGACTGAGGAACATGCCCGTAGTTTTGATCAGATTGCTCACTTTGAACCTCAGAAAATACTGATGACCATTTAAAGGTTTAAAAGTCACTTTTTTTTTTCCTCTGTGGTCTAAGAAACTCGATAGTATAGAGCTCTGTTAACTCCCAGAGCTAGGCGATTTAGGAGTCAGTTCTTAGGATGAAGGCTGAAAAGCTGGGGCACTTGATGCATGCAGAAGTTACTCTCAGAGAGAGTCTGTATATTTGGAATTATTTCAGGAGAAAGCCAGGGAAGAAAGTGCATGAAGTTCCCACTCTCCCATTGAAGGAAGCACAAGTTTCATACCCTCCTAATAGACAGAGACTTCTGGCCTGGACTTATTGCTAAAGCAAGCAAGGGAGGGAGGTGCAGGGAGTATCTGCATTCCCATAGAGACATGAAGATGTCCCCCTGCCTCCTTCCAGTGAAAGACAGCAAGAGTTTATTTCTAGAACAAACCAGAGAAGAAGGTGTGGGGAGTGCCATAACTTCCATGGTTACTGACACAGGTCTCAAATGTGTTTTCATGGAGATATTTCAGGGCTAGGATTATCACTGGAGCTAGTTGGTGGAAAAGGTGCAGAAAGTGTCTGCTGTCCTGTTCAAGCAAGTGGAAGAAGTTTCACACCTCCCATCCCTTGCAGGGGGAGCCTTCTGTTGTGATTGCTGAAGCAATCCAGAGAAAAAGGTTCAGGGAGTCAGGGAGTGCCTACTTTCCCTTTCAGGCACATAGGAGTCCTTCTGCCACCATCTAATGAGGGATTGCAGACAGACATTTATCATGGGAGCAAACCAGGGAAGAGGGCATGGCAGGGCAGGGCAGACAGGGTGTGCTGTCCCTCCATTCTTGCTGGTAGTGGCCTCCAACCTCTTACCACAGAGATTGTAGAGCTATCACTGGAGTAAGCAACGGAAGAAGGTGTGGGCAGTGCAGTATCATCCTCCCATTTAGTCTCCAAGAGGTTTATTCTTACTTGCTATATAGGCTCCCAGATACTGGCTTGTTAGAGGCCAGAACCACAGGGTGCTCCTGGAAAAGCATGTGATCACACCTCATCAGTGGGGAAGGTGAAATCTGGGCTCATCTCAGGGGACTACAACAAACAGCTAAGGGTGCTCACATGGTTCAAACCCCCATTTTGTTCTTTGTGTTTGAGGGAGATCCTCTGAAGATTGTCTCTTTCATTCCTCCAGCACAGTGATTTAAGAGCCAAGCCCTTCACAAGGACTGTGAAAGTGGAACACTATGTGTGCTACAAGTCCCTCACCCCTCAGGATAAAGTGAAAGTTGGAGTTTCCTTCCCAAGTGTGTTCAGGGTGGGGTTAATTCACAAGTGTATCTGCTTTTCCTATTGGTTTGATGCGGATGTTTTCTCAGTCATCCAGTATGTAGGAGTCTTTCAACTGGATTCTGCCTTTCTCTTGGAGAGAATTGATTTGTGTGTAGGTGTTTACTCAGTTTGTCTGTGGAAGAAGCGATAGTCAGGAGTCTCCTATTTCACCAGGTTTTCTAATGTTTCAAATGTTTTATTTCCATTAAAAAAATAAATAACTGAAATTAAAAGCAAATGTTTTATATACATGTCATTAATATATAAATAACCATGTTTAATTTAACAATGAACTAGCTGCTTTCTTGGAATTTCATATACCCTAAAAGAACTTCAGAAGCCCAATTGATAATGTCTCCAAAACTCATTAATATGAAGGATTCATTGATCAGGAAGCAAAATAAGTAATTTCAAAAATAAAAAGATTCTCAACATATACCTTAAAGCACGTTCTGCAGTAGCTATTTTTAGTAAGTCATAAGAAATGTCCGTTAGATGCAACCGAACTAAAACCATTGCTGCCTGAAAGACTTAAGCATCTGAATGTTTTCTGTTACTTAGATACAGGAGATACATCTAAAGTTATTGCCTCAGGAAAGATACACTAAAAAATCAGTGTAGTTAATTTTTTTTTAAATTTCCAGTTTGTAGTAATTTCAGGTGTTTATGAACCATTTTGTGTTCAGAAATAGGAATGAAAGTACATTATTGCCATAGATATGCTTCCAGTGTCAGTATTCCATCTCCATTGCGTTGCTCATCAGCTCTGTGCTGTATCTTCGGAATGAAGGTAAAATGTGAAGCACCCTCACACCACCACACACTGTGACATTCACTTACAACTGAGTAACAGCAAGAAAATATGAAAATTAATTTCTTAAGAATATGTTTCTGTTTAAAACCAATTTAACCTTATCAAGAAATCTTAGTTTCTAAATAAAGAAGCAAGAATTCAATTAAGAACAGAGGCCTAACATGTGAATACCATTTACATGATTAAGCAGTGATAACACACTGTTCTGCATTTCATTCCCACACACAGTATTGAACCGAATGTGAAACTGATACTTTGGAGACATTAAATATCCATAGCTTTGAAATGTGCTGCCATTTAATTACTACCAAAGCCATGTGCCTCAGAGCTTTCTGTTCATCGTTTCTATAAGGCTCTTAATACGGTTCTATGACAAGAACATGAAAGTTATACAAAACTGTGAAAAAGTACAATAATTAAAAATCTCATGCATACTATCACAAAACTAGCTACGTTAACAGAAATGAAAATGATCTCTGTACTCCAAATGAAAAATGAGACTCAGAACTTATGTCCAAAATTGAATTGTTAGCAATATGACAGGTTCCGAACCATGAATTCCTAACCAACACACATCGAAAACATTAACAGCACTTCTCTACTCAAAACAAAAAGGAATGCATGATTAAACCGATAACTATGTCAGGAATTAACCAACTCAGAGGATCATTTTCATTGGAGTTCTCTTTTTGCTTTCTTAGACTGCAAGTTGAATATTCTTAAACTGCCCTATTCTACCCAAAGCGCCAAAGAGCAAATGTATATAAGCAAAAATTACTCAAGTGGAAAATGTGATTTCTCTTGTCAGCATGTCACAGCGATGAAAGGAGGAAAAATTAGAGTTAGACCTGTTGAACAGATTGCTTTTCTCATATTAACAGCTAGAAAGCTTAAAGCCAATTATTTTTATCTAACTCCCTACCCCCAAAATGTTTACATCTTTAAGACATGTGTTTTCATTGCTGGTGTTATTGTTAAAAATATATCTTTCTTATATTGTGTGATAATAACAATAATGAATAATCCTTGCCTAACAAATAAAGAAAATTATAAAGAAGAATCTAAATCACCTGGGATGCCACAGCTCTAAGAAAACCAATAATAAAACTTTGGTATGTTTTCTTCAACATTCTTCCCTCCATGGTCCTACTCTGTCCTCCTATCCACGGTACCCAATGTCCTCAAGCCTTCACTCTGCTAGAGGCTTTTTCTGAAAGTTGTATTGTATGAGCAGCAAAGGGTGAAGCAGATATAAGAATTCAAAAATTATCGGAACTTTGTTTGTTAGGCCATGGAAGCTGATGATATCTCATTTTTAAATATGTATGCCAGATAGGATATACAAATGAAGTTAAGTTTATTTACTCAAAATGAAAATCACATAAAAATATAATTGACATATATTTTCTTTGGTAATTTTAACAGATATTTGTCTTGGTATCTGTTGGTAAGTGCTATCATTCATTGCATACAGATGAGAAGGAAATTTCCCATGCATAGTAAGGAAGTGGAGAATTTGCCAAGGGCTTTGAACACTTTAAAAAAATAAAGCATATGTACAATTTTTAGCAGGATAACAGGGCATTAAAGTTGCTGTTTTGGTTTTTAATCACTGAATGGATATTTTTGTAGTTGATCTGTATCTCTCTGTTCAGGTGAACTGGCGAAGAAGTGTAGATCTTAAAGATTCCTAAATTCTTACATAGTATTCAATAGCATGAATGCACCCCGGTTTATTCTGCTGCTCTCTTATCCACAGGCATTTATTCTCAATATTTTGCTCACAGATAAATCATAGCATATTAACTTGACCATCAGCATTGTATGAGAGTAATTTTATCCCTGCATTTTCATCAGCAATATTCATCTTTTAAATTCTCAAACAGATGGTTTTTTAAAATGTCTTTATTAAACATTTTAACTTACCATTTTGGCGTGACTTTTCATATCCTGTCCTTATTTTTCACTGGAGTTATTTTTTGTTGTTATATGCATGTTAAAGGTCATCATGTAAATATAATGCTTTCTTACATTGTGAATATTTTTCTTATTTCTAGTTTGTCATTTGACTTTGTCCTGCTATCATTTTTAGGTTTCATTTTTTTAGAAAGGAATATCTATACACCTTTATTTCAGTCTAGCTAGTCATCCATCCACTTGGATATATAAAGTCTTGTTTCAGTTAAAAAATATTCCCAGCCCCAAGGTTTTGTAATATTGTCTACTAAGATTTTTAAAAATATGCTTGTTTTATAATTTTACATGTAAAGTTTTACTATTGCTATAATTTATTTGAACACATAGAGTAAATTAGAAGGTCCTACTTACTTATTTCCAGAGAGCAGTTTGCTGTACCATTTATTGCCCCATTGTATTTGTTCGTGTATATATTTAACTGTATTTTATAATCTCTTCTGCTGAAGTATTGCTTTATGCCTAAGCAGTATGATTTACTCATGACTAAAAGAATTATATTATATATTAATTTGATGAGCCATGATCTCATACATCTTCTTATTTCTTGTTTTCTTGATTTTTGACGTTTATTTTTCCATATATACTTGAAGATTATTTTATAGAGTTCAAAGAAATCTATGAAGGTTCTAATGGAATTGCAAAAGCTTCTAATGGACATTACTCTAATTTAAGGTAGATTTAACTTTTGAGGATACAAAATATTCTTATAAAATAACAAAATAGATCTTTTCTTTTTATTACACATTATTTTATGTCTAAATATAATGCTACATTATTCATATAAGTACTATACTTTTCATTAAACTGATCCCTAATTATTTTATATTGGTTGCTTTTATAAATGGAAGCTTCCCATTTCCATTTAAAGGTACTTAATGCTAGCATAGAGCAAATTTTAAAAATTATATGACATCAAGTCACTTGCAAACTTTAGTAATTTCATTGGTTTTTACTAGACTCTCATTTTATGAAGGTGTAATTCTATCATCTCTGAGTAAATAATTACATTCTATTCAACTGCTCACTCCTCTCCTTTTCCTGGTTGTCTAGAATTGAATTTAGTATTTCACAATTTGCAGGTGGTATGTGGTTCAGGGTAAGTTACTTTATTGTATTATGGTCATTTCCATCTATTCTTATTTTGCTTATGTTTTATTAGGAATGGTGTCTGTATCTTATCAAATGCCTTTTCAGTAATTATTGACATAATTATATGACTTCTTTCTTTGAAATTAATGCTTTTGAACCCTCCTTGGGTTATTGGAATAAATCTGCTTGATATTGTATTTTTTTTCATGCTCTGATGGATTACATGTTATTTTAGGTCTTTTACTATAAGTTCATAAAGAATGATTATCTTTACCATTTTACTAATATGCTTGAGTACTAATGTCATAATAGAAAACAATCCTATGATTTTTATGATCTGTGATATTTGAGTAATTGATTTTTTTTCTTCAAAGAGCCTGCTACTAAATGGAATGGTAAAGATAGCAAACAGCTGCACAAAATTTTCTGTCAGGAAAACTTAAAGTTTTATATTTATTAATTCATTTGATCTTTTTAATCACTTAATGAATTAATAAATATTGTTATCTGCTTTTTACAAACAGGAAAATCAATGCAGATAAAGCTTATGTGACGTGCTTATGCTCAAATACCTATTACTTGGTAGAATGAATTTGAACATAGGTATTCTGATGTGAGAGGCTGCTTTTAGCAGTTAAATTAAACAGCCTCTATCACCTTTGCAATCTCTTTTGTGGTTATTTATTCTATTCAACTTGTTTCTTAGTTTTCATATGTTATAGTTTACTGAAAAGAATCGATTTCCCCTAGATTTAATATTTACTGTCATAGTGCTACAATAAGGTTCTAAAAAGTATTTTACTTTCTTCTTAAGCTTGTGCTATTTTTTATTGCCAGCTTTCTTTTTAATTGATGAAACTTGTTAAGATTTTGTTTATGTCTTGCAAAAACCTATTTCTTACATTTATTTATCCTTTATTAATTTTTTTTGTTTTGCATTTTACTCCTTTTAAAAATATGTATTAGTTTTCTTTTACTAATCAATTTTGGTTGATTTTACTCCATTTCTAGTTTATTAAATTTTTCCAAGTCTTACTTTTTCAGCCTTAATAATGAATAAATATACCCTAAACAAATCTTTTCAGTTTTCTGTGTGTCAAATATGACATAAAGTATTCTTTACATTGCTTTCCAGAGGTACAGAATTTCAGTTTGATTTTCTCTTTGAGCCAGGGATTATTCAGGAGTATTTTTAAATCTCTAATGAATGAGTATTTTGGTCATTCTTCATTTACATTTCCTATTTTTCCTGAGCCAAAGAATGTGACTGGTAAAACTTCCAATTTAAAAAATGTTAAACCTTTGTTTATATCTAAATATATGGTTAAATTTTGTGAATATTAAATATACATGGAAGAAAATATATTCTTCCTATTCAGGGGATAAAATATTTTATATATTTCTCTTATATCATGTTTGTTATTGTATTATATATATAATTTCTCTATAATTGTGCTGACCAAAATAATGGGTACTAGCCACATTGTATATATTGAACAGTTGTATGTAATATATAAATTTTGTACTTGAAATGTGACTAGTCTAAATTGAAATGTAATGTAAACTCTACAAAGGATCTTAAAGATTTAGTATAAAAAATGCAAAAATATTTAAATAATTTTAAATGAATTAAATGTTAAAATGATAATATTTTGGACACGAGTTAAAAATATTATTAAAATTAATCTCATCTATTTCTTTTCACTTATTTTAATGTGGCTACTAGAACATCTAAAATTACATATGGGCTTGCATTAGTTTGTATTGAATGACATTGCTCTGTAGTACTAATTATTTTTGGTCTACTAATCTGTCCATAAAAAATGTATTGACATCTTTCTTTTCATTTAATATCTTTCAAGAACTCCTTCCTTGTCTTATAATTTATGATTCCTATATTTGGTAGATTTTAAAAACCATATGTAGGTTTATGACTGTTACATCACTTTATAAACTGTGACTTTTGTCTTCATTTGATACAAATCCTGATTTTAACTTTAAATTTTATTTGATCTTGCCACTCTTTCTTTATTTTTTGTATTTGAATGGTTACTCTTAAAAATCACTTTTTTTTGGTCCTTGCATTTACTAGGTATCTTACACATTATGGGTTTTATTTTTTAACTCAGCCTTATTGTCTCTTTTCCAAAGTGAGAAAATTCACAAATCAATATTTAGTATAAAAACTGGTGTGATTTTAAAACATCCATCTCACTTTATGCTGTGTATGTATTTTATGTTTTTCTTTATTTCTCCTTCAGTTTTTGTTTATGAGTCTTTGATCACGCATGCTCAATTTTTCCTTTGTTAATTTAAAAGTTCTGGTTTTTTCATTTAACAAGGAATTATTTTATAATTTATAATGTTCACAATTTGTTTCTCTGCTATTATATCAAAGCAACATACAAACCATAAGTCTTTATTCAAGGTGGTCTATTTTCCTCCTGCTCCTTCCTCTGTCACTAAGAGATAATATTTAAAGCATTTTTTTCCCTCTTTGTTACCTAATCACATGACGATTTCAAGAGAACTTTAAGAAAGAGATAATATTTAAAGCATTTTTTTTCCCTCTTTGTTACCTAATCACATGACGATTTCAAGAGAACTTTAAGAGAACATTAGAGAAACATGTCTTTGTCCCTGCTACTCCTAACTTTGGCTGAGGTCACTTAAATGTTTGGTTTTTGGACCATTATTAGTTTTTTCCCTGCTATAGGTTTCTTATTTTTCCATATTTGTCTGATATATTCTTGCGCATTCTGTCATTATCCATTTAGATTTAACTATTAATATATACATTACAAGGTTTATTCCTTAACACTGTTCTTTATTCTTCATCTTCTCCTCTCGAGATTTCAGAACTACTGCTACCTTTGTGAGCTGTGTTTTTGTCCTCAGGCATATAATGTTGCCTCCCCTCCATCTGCTTCTTTTTCTTCTTCTGTTTACTATCTTTCCTCCATTTTCTTCATGATTCCAATCCTTTTTATAGTTTTTCCTCTGCTTTTAGTTAAATTTTCGATTTGGTTTCCCATGATGTAATCATATATATATGAGATATATATATATATATATATATATATATATATATGTATGTATGGTGGGGTATGTGTGTGTGTGTATTCTTCAGTTTAATTTATTTCCTAACATTTCTTCTTTCAAATAGCATGAGTTTTTATCCCAAGATGTTTTTAGTACTCATTAGTCTTCTTAAGGTCTGCTTTAAGTTGCTTTATGTCTCCTCTGGTAGTTCCAGTTGTCTACCTACCAGTAGATAATCTGTGTACTTTCCCTCTCTGAACCAGTAGTGAGTGTCCCAAGAGATAAGATGGTTGTCTTCTGACCAGGTGGCAGGATAAAGCCTCTCTTTTGCCAAGTTCTCTTGGATGAAACTGCTCATGTAGTCTCCAGCCTTAGTGCAGTAAGGACTCAGACTAACTATGCAATTGAATCAAATTTCTTGGGGCCAAAGAGATGTCCAGGTCCTCACAATTAATAATGTCACAGGCCATAGACTCTATTTTCCTTGAGTGACCTCAGAACCCCATAGAACAAATATTTTTATAGGCTCTACTATGATCTGATCCTCATCCCAGATATCTCTGCCTCTGGACCTCAAGCACTGCCTCTGGCACAGAGAATCAATAGGTTATTCCAGTCTCTGTCTAAGCTGGTAGAGTCCTGGGCTCTACCTCAGGCTCACCTGCCTGAAGACTGTCACATTTGCTTTACTTGGGAGGTATTTGTGGTGGTTAGATTGGCATTTAAAGGTATGGACAACAGAAACATACTTCGGCAGCATATGTTCCTTTGTTCTGCTTCAAGTCTACCTATTAATGCACCAATAATAAATAAGTTTAAAAAGGATATATAGCATTTTATAGGACAGATAGAACAAGTCATTTTCCATTATCCATCTTTCATTTTTCAATGTCTTTTAAATTTTTTAAGAGGATACAAACAAATGGAAGAACATTCCATGCTCATGGGTAGGAAGAATCAATATTGTGAAGGTAATTTATAGATTCAACACCATCTCCATCAAGCTACCAATGACTTTCTTCACAGAATTGGAAAAAACTACTTTAAAGTTCATATGGAATCAAAAAAGAGCCTGCATTGCCAAGTCAATCCTAAGCCAAAAGAACAAAGCCGGAGGCATCATGCTACCTGACTTCAAACTATACTACAAGGCTACAGTAACCAAAACAGCATGGTACTGGTACAAAAACAGAGATATAGATCAATGGAACAGAACAGAGCCCTCAGAAATAAATAATGCTGCATATCTACAACCATCTGATCTTTGACAAACCTGAGAAAAACAAGCAATGGGGAAAGGATTCCCTATTTAATAAATGGTGCTGGGAAAACTGGCTAGCCATATGTAGAAAGCTGAAACTGGATCCCTTCCTTACACCTTATACAAAAATTAATTCAAGATGGATTAAAGACTTACATGTTAGACCTAAAACCATAAAAACCCTAGAAGAAAACCTAGGCATTACCATTCAGGACATAGGCATGGGCAAGGACTTCATGTCTAAAACACCAAAAGCAATGGCAACAAAAGCCAAAATTGACAAATGGGATCTAATTAAACTAAAGAGCTTCTGTACAGCAAAAGAAACTACCATCAGAGTGAACAGGCAACCTACAAAATTGGAGAAAATTTTTGCAACCTACTCATCTGACAAAGGGCTTATATCCAGAATCTACAATGAACTCAAACAAATTTACAAGAAAAAAACAAATAACCCCATCAACAAGTGAGCAAAGGATATGAACAGACACTTCTCAAAAGAAGACATTTATGCAGCCAAAAAACACATGAAAAAATGCTCATCATCACTGGCCATCAGAGAAATGCAAATCAAAACCACAGTGAGATACCATCTCACACCAGTTTGAATGGCGATCATTCAAAAGTCAGGAAACAACAGGTGCTGGAGAGGATGTGGAGAAATAGGAACACTTTTACACTGTTGGTGGGACTGTAAACTAGTTCAACCACTGTGGAAGTCAGTGTGGCGATTCCTCAGGGATCTAGAACTAGAAATACGATTTGACCCAGCCATCCCATTACAAAGGATTATAAATCATGCTGCTATAAAGACACATGCACACATATGTTTATTGCGGCACTATTCACAATAGCAAAGACTTGGAACCAACCCAAATGTCCAACAATGATAGACTGGATTAAGAAAATGTGGCACATATACACCATGGAATCCTATGCAGCCATAAAAAATGAAGAGTTCATGTCCTTCTTTGTAGGGACATGGATGAAACTGGAAACCACCATTCTCAGCAAACTATCGCAAGGACAAAAAACCAAACAATGCATGTTCTCACTCATAGGTGGGAATTGAACAATGAGAACACTTGGACACAGGAAGGGGAACATCACACTCCGGTGACTGTCGTGGGGTGGGGGGAGTGGGGAGGGATAGCATTAGGAGATATACCTAATGCTAAATGACAAGTTAATGGGAGCAGCACACTAACATGGCACATGTATACATATGTAACAAACCTGCACATTGTGCACATGTACCCTAAAACTTAAAAAGTATAATATTAATAAAATAAAATAAAAATTTTAGCCATTTTTTACATGAGTTTAGAAACATTAGCTACTACCCCTGATCCCACTGGCATTTTGGTTAGAATTATTACATTAAACCCAAGAATGAATTTTGAAAAGAATGAACACCTCTTTCTTTATTACATGTATTTTCATTTATAGGGATATTTTCTATATAATAAATATAAAAATTGATTAAAAAATCAAGTCAATTACGAATGATGTATTAAATGTAATTTTGTTTTACTAGTAAAACTGTTCTCTTAATATTTTAATAAGAAATTGGTCATAATATTATTGGAAAGTATCAGATTATGAGGCTATAGTTCATAAAACTTTATGATCTAAATCCTATGAAATAAAAATGTGTGCAATCACATGAACACAACGAAAAAATTATTAAATGCATACTCCAAAGTGATATTACAAATTTTATTATCATTATTAGTATTAAAATTTTTCTATATAGTTATGATAGAAATAAAATCATGAATAATTCAAAGAATAATTTTACTAACTCTCTCTACTCTGGAATATAATAAATATTTCCATCAAGTCACCCCATAGCTTTATATCTTTCAGAAAAATAATATATCCAACAAATTATTTTGTGGATATTGACAAACTTACTTACTATAAAGTTTATATGAAGAAGCAAAAATCAGAGAACAGCCAAATCAATATTAAACCAGAAAAATAAAAATAAAATTGGAAAATAAGACTGTATTAATTCATTCTCTTACTGCTATAAAGACATACCTGAGACTGGGAAATTTATTTTAAAAAAAGGTTTAATTGACTCACAATTCCACAGGCTATACAGGCTTCTGCTTCTGTGGAGGCCTCAGGAAACTTTCAATCACAGAGGAAGATGAAGGGGAAGCTGGCAGTATTCACATGCCTGGCAGGAGGAAGTGCAAGCAAAGCGGTAGGTGCTACACACTTTCAAACAAGCAGATCTTGTGAGAACTCTATCATGAGAACAGCAAGGGGAAAGTCCACCCCATGATTCAATCACCTCCCACCAGGCCACTCCTCCAACAATGGAGGGTTACAATTCAACATGAGATTTAAGTGAGGACACAGAGCCAAACCATACCCGATACTATCTAACTGCAAGACATATTAATAAACTACAGGAATCAAGACAGTGTGGTATTGGTGAAAGAATATATGATTCAATCAATGGAATGGATAAAGGGCCAAGAAATAGAACCACATAAATATAGTCAACTGGAGGCTGAGGTGGGCAGATCACCTGAGGTCAAGAGATCGAGACCAGCCTGGCCAACATGGTGAAACCCCATCTCTACTAAAAATAATACAAAAAGTTAGCTGAGCATGGTCACCAGTGCCTGTAATCTAAGCTACTCAGGAGGCTGAGGCAGGAGAATCACTTAAACCAGTGAGGCGGAGGTTGCAGTGAGTCAAGATCATGCCATTGCACTCCAGCCTGAGTGACAAGAGCAAGGCTCTGTCTCAAAAAATAAATAAATAATAAATAAATAAATCAATAAAAAATAAATAAAGTCAACCAATCTTTGATAAAGGAAAAAAATGCAATACAATGGAGAAAAGATAGTTTTCCAACAAGTGATGCTAGAATAACTGGACATTCACATGCAAAATATGAATCTACATACACACTTGTAATATGTTATAAACATTAACTCAAAATGGATAACAACATAAATGTAAATGCAAAACTATACAACTCCTAGAAAATAATAACATACGAAAAAATATCTAGATGACTTTGGCTTTGGTTATGACTTAGTTTCAATATAAAAGATATAACACATAAAATAAGGAACTGATAAGCTGGACATCATTAAAATTAAACATTTCTATTCTGTGAAAGACACTATCAAGAGAATGGAAAGACAACTCACAGACTTGGAGAAATTATTTGCAAAACAAACCACATATCTGATAAAGGACTGTTACTTAAAAAAATAAAGAACTTATAAAACTCAACCATAACAGCACAAACAACCCTATTTTTTAAATGGGCAAAATACTGTAGTCTCCTCATTAAAGAAGATATACACATAGCAAATATGTGAAAACATGCTTCACGTCATATGTCATCAGGGAAATGCAAATTAAAACAACAATGAATTACCACTACACACACATTAGAATGGCCATGATCCAGAATACTAACAACATCAAATGCTGGCAAGGAAATTGAGAAACAGGAATTCTCATTTATTGCTGGTAGAATGCAAAATGCTACACCTACTTTGTAAGACAGTTTAATCGTTTAATCGTTTCTTACAAAACTAAACATACATTTTACTGTACAATCCAATAATTTTGCTTCTTGTGATTTACCCAAATGAATTGAAAACTGTCTGCAAAAAAAACTTTGCATACGGATGTTTATAACGTCTTTATTTATAACTGCCAAAACTTGGAAGCAACTAAGATGTCCTTCAGTAGATGAATGAATAAAAAAAATACTGTGCTATATCAATACAATAGAATATCATTAGGCAGTAAAAAGAAACGAGCTATCAAGGCATGAAAATACATGAAGGAACCTTAAATGCATATTACTAAGTGAAAGAAGCAAATCTAAAAAGGCTGCACATTATATGATTTCAATCACATGACATTCTGTAAAAGGCAAAACTATGGATACAAATCAATGATTGTCAAAGATTGGTGGTAGGGAAGAGGGATGAATAGAGCACTGGAACTACTCTGTATGGTACTATAATGGTGAATACATGTCATTATACATTGGTTCAAACTCATGGAGTGTACAACACGAAAAGTGAACCCTAATTTAAACTACTGACCTTAGATGATAATGGGGCTTCATGTAAATTCTTTGGTTGTAACAAATGTACCACTCTGGTAATGGATGTTGATAATGAGGAAGACTATGTATGCATGGGGGAGAGTGTATATGGGAAATCTCTGTGCCTTCCACTAAATTTTCCTAAAATCTAAATTTGCTCTTAAAAATATACAAAATCTATTTTTAAAAAGTATAGTCTTCTTATAATCTCATGAATTTCTTATTCAAATTATTCTCATATATTTTATGTTATTTCAAGTTATTTTTTTCCACGTATGTTTAAAAGTTATCACCAATGTATAATAAAATATTTTAAACACAGTTTATCTACATAGTTATGCACCTATAAGAAAAATCCTTTCTTATATTTTATTACCTGGCCAAATTTTTCTGAGGCTTTTTTAGTTAATTCAATTGTGTTTTATAAGCGTACCCTGTTAACTATTAATTGTAAAAATCAGAGCTCTTCCTTTTTCTGATTCTGGATTTATAACATTGGTGACTATTGATGTTATCTTGTATTTATTAGCTGATAATATCTATAACTTTATTTAAACTCTTGACACAATTTCAATGGAATGTATGCATTATTACCCCAAACTTTGTAGTGCTATATAAAAGAATGTTAACATTTGCAATAAAAATTTGGGTTTCTAACAATTATTTTTGCATGTCTAAAAATTTATGCTTATATAATTTGATGACAATTTTGGTGGGTTATGCAACATATACATATTTATTGTTGTGTGTATTGTGAATTTTACATTTTAAAATATATTTATTCAGGTATCATATATATATATAGTAACTTGCATAGATCATAAGTGTATAGTAAATATATAAAATTTTACACATATACTATGTACCCCTAAGGAGTGATCATAATTTGCTCTTACTATAGATTAATTTTTTAGTTTCTAACCTTCAAATGAATGAAATAAAATTGCATAGACGTTTTTGCTTCTGTTCCCTTTTGATCATCATTATGTCTGTGAGAGTCATCTCATATATGTTGCTGTACATAGCAGGAATTTTGAGTTTTTTGCTATTGTTGTTTAATGGCTATTCTACAGTTGATGGACTTTTAGGTTGTTTCCATTTTTGAGCTGTTATGAATTATACTGATATGAACATAATATCCAAACCTTTTGATGGACATATGCATTAATTTCATTTGGATGTATACTTAGGTATGAAATTACTGGGTCATGGGGCAAGATTATGTGTACATTTAGTAGAAACTGCCAGTATCACGGAGTGATTATAACAATTTAAACTCTCACTAGCAATATATGTAATAATATTGATGTTAGTATAAATGGCAATTTTACATTTTATTTTTCAATTATTTTCTATGATTATATGGAAATGTCATTCTTTTTTAAATTATCCTTGAACTGAGTGACTTTGCTTAATTCATTTATTAATTCTAATGGGTTGCTAGCAAATTATTTTAAAATGTTCCACCCATGCAATTATGTCCTTTAAGAGTTTTCTTTTTTATACTTTCAATCATTTGAGTTTTGTTATTTTATTTTAAACTTTTTTCTTTTCTTTTTTTTTTTTTTTTAGACAGAGTCTCTTGCTCTGTCACCCAGGCTGGAGTGCAGTGGCAAGATCTTGACTCACTGCAACCTACATCTCTTGGGTTCAAGCGATTCTCATGCCTCAGTCTCCCAAGCAGCTGGGATTACAGGCATGCACCACCATGACCGGCTAATTTTGGTATTTTTAGGAGAGATGGGGTTTCACCATGTTGGCAAGGCTGGTCTCGAAAGCCTGACCTCAAGTGATCCGCCCACCTCAGCCTCCCAGAGTGCTGGGATTACATGCATGAGCCACCATGCCCAGCCTAAACTGACAAATTATAATTGTATGTATTTAGGGGGTACAAAGTTATATGTGTATACTATATGAAACAATCAAATCAATCTCATTAACATACCCATTACCTCAAATACTTAACATATTTTGTGAAGAAAAATTTGAAATTTACTCTCTTAACAATTTTGAAATATACAACACAATATTATCAATTATAGTCATCAAATTCTCATTTTAGAGTTTTATTTCTGTTTTGTGGCTTATGGAACTTGTTAGGATTTCCAGTACAGTGTTGAATGGAATGGGGATGGGGACATTCTTACATATATCATAAATTCTGGGAATAATAATATTTCATCATTAAGAAAAGTACTATAATTCACTACAAAGTATGATATTAACTATAGGGTTTTGTTAATATATTTTACCAGATTTTAAAAGTTACCTTGTATTCTTAGGTTACTAGGAGTTTTTTATCATAAATAAGTGTTGAGTTTATACCTTTATTGTATCTATTGAGATAGTTCATTTATTTTCCATTATTTTGTTTATATGAAATGTATACCATTATTTTTTAATGTTACACCAAACTTACATACCTGGAATATATGTTATTCCAGAAATATAACTGCAGTATACCAGCTATCTTTTCTATATGGCTGTACTTTGTATGTTATCGAGATAGGATTTTTGCATCTATGTTTACGAAAGATATTGAGCTATCAGCCGGTCATTTTCTTTTGTAAATGCGCTTGTCATATTTTTTTACAAATTTCTCCTTTTGTAATACTCCTTGTCAGATTTTGGTATTAAGGTCATGCTGTCTTCATGCATTAGGAAGTGTTCCTTTCTTTCTTCAAAATTTGGATAAGGGGATATCATCAGGAAAATGTCAGAGTAGTAAGCCCTAGACACTACTTCACCCACAAATGCACCAATTCAGCAACAATTTATGGATAAATTCTCTTTGTTAGAAATCAACAAACTAATTAAAAAGCTTCTGTATCCCAGGAAAATAGAAAACCAAGCTCTCAGAAGCCAGTACAGAGATTCAGGACACTTTCTCACTGGAATCCCAAACCGACGCACAGTGCAGTATGATTAGGAGAAGATCTCCTAACTCCCAGCTTCTTCCAGGGAAGTTTAGTTCACATGTACGGAGCCCCAACTATTCTAAGGGGACTCACCAGAGGATGGGTTTCCGTCTTGCCAGTATTGGAGCTCTGACAGGTTCAACATAGTCTAGCCACCTGGGGGAGAATGGCAATAGCAGCCTGGACTGTTAAATGCTATAACTCCTCCCCCTACCCAGCACAGAGTGAGCAGATAAAAATTCCCAGCTCTCAGCTTTCCTCTGGGAGAAAAAAATTGATCAGTAAGTCTAATGCCCCAACTTTTCCAGGGCTTCCCAAGAACTTGCACCTTTGCTGCTAGTCTTGAATTTATGATGGGTCTGGCACAGTCTAGCTGTCTGGGAGAGAACTTTTACTGGTAGACACCTTAGCTCTACCTTCCAGCACAGCATAGAGTAAACCATAGTATCCTGCTTTTCCCTGGGGAGTGAGAGAGTTAGGCCAGACATCAAATACCACAGCTTTTCTGGGGACTGGCTTCTGATTTGCCTGCCTCAGAGTACTAGTGGGACTTGGTATAATCTAGCCCCCTGGGAGAGAGTGAGTACAAGGACAGAGATTTGGAAAGGCAGTCACCATAGACCCCCACTACTGGTTTAGCACAGACCAAGTAGATGAAAATTCCCAGCTTCCAGCTTCTCACTGGAAAGGAAATCAGTTGGATATAACATCCAACAATTTAACTTTTCTGGATACCATCCAAGGAGTAGGCTTTAGTTTTGTCTCAGTGCACTTACAAGCTCAGGCATACTCAAGATGCCTGGGGGTTGCAAAGAACAAAGAAAGTGGGTTGACTCTCAAGAAAGTTTTAAAGAACATAAGAATCTCTGGCTGGGGCAATTAGTGGCAGTCTTCTTCTATATGAGGCCAGTCCATGAAGAGTAGGAGAGGTGGCCGCTTTGTCCAACGTGCAGAAATAGACACACTAAAGAAGAATCAGGCAAACCTGTTCCAAACAAAGGAACAACATAAATCTCCAGAAACTGACCCTAATAAGATGAAGTTATTTGACTATCAATAAAAGTAAATTCAGAATAATTGTCATAAAGACACTCATCAAAGTCAAGAAACAGTGCATGAAAAAAGTGAGAACGTCAACAAAGAAATACAAATTATAAAGCAGTAGTAAATGAAATTCATAGAGCTGAAGACCACAATAACTGAACTAAAAAATTAACCAGAGGCTTCGACAGATGACTACATTAAGCAAAGGAAAGAATTAGCAAACTCAAAAGACAGCACACTAAAAATAATTTGGTCAGAGGAGCAAAAAGAATAAAAAATTAAAAAGCATGCAGAAAGCTGAAGGGTCTTATGAGACACTGTCAAGCATACCAGTATATACACTGTAGGGATACTATGAGAAGAGAGAGAAAGAAAGAATCAGAAGGCAATTTCAAATAAATAATGGCTGAAAACTTCCCAAATCTGGGGAAGAAAATGAATACATAGATATAAGAAGCCCTAAAGAAATGGGCCGAGTGTGATGGCTCAAGCTGAGTGCAGTGGCTCACACCTGTAATCCCAGCACTTTGGGAAGCCGAGGCAGGTGGATCACGAGGTCAGGAGATCGAGACCATCCTGGCTAACACGGTGAAACCCTGTCTCTACTAAAAATACAAAAAAATTAGCCAGGTGTGGTGGCGGGCGCCTGTAGTCCCAGCTACTCAGGAGGCTGAGGCAGGAGAAAGGCGTGAACCTGGGAGGTGAAGCTTGCAGTGAGCCGAGAATGCGCCACTGCACTCCAGCGTGGGCGACAGAGCGAGACTGTAGCTCAAAAAAACAAATAAATAAATAAAATAATAATAATAAATAAATAAATGAAATACAATGAATTCAATCAAATCACCAAAATACATTGTAAACAAATTGTCAAAAAAACAAAGACAAGAATATTTGAAGCATCAAGAGAAAATCGACTTATCACATATAAGGTAATCTTTGTAAGTCTATAAGTAGATTTTTCAGCAGAAACCTCACAGGCAGAAGAGAGTGGGAAAACATAGTCAAAGTACTAAAAGGAAAAATAAACTGACAAGAATAAAATACTTAGCACAACTGTCCAAAAATCAAGGAGAGGTAAAGACAATTCTAGACAAATAAAAGCTTATATAGTTCATCACTGTTTGACCTACTTTACAAGAAATACTAATGGGGGTTCTTTAAGTTGAAATAAAATGATACTAAATAACGACATTATAGCATATAAGTATGGAAATGTTGGTAAAGGCAAATATGTAGACAATTACAAAATATTGTATTACTGTAATGGTAACAAGTTGATCACATTTAGTTCTAGTATAAAAGACAAAAGTATTAAAATAATAACAAAAATATGTTAAAAGATACACAATGTGAGGAGAAGTAAATTGTGATAACTATAACACAGTGTTGGAGGAGAAATAAGTTAAGAGTAGAGTTATTGTATATGATTAAATGTAAGTTATCAGTTTAAAATAAGACTATTATAACTACAACAAATTTTTTGTAAACCTCAAGGTAACCACAAAAAATACCTATCGTAGTTATATTTTTTTTAAAAAAAGTAATCAAAGCCTATCAATACAAACGTTTTTTTAAAAAACAAACAAAGGAAGACAGGAAGAAAGGGAAAGCAGAATAAAGAACTGTTAAGACTAACAGAAAGTAATTAACAAAATGGTGTTAGTAAATCTTTATCAATAATTACTTTAAGTGTGTTAATATGTTGCACTTCTCAATCAAAAGACATAGAATGGATGAATGAATTAGAAAGAAAAAACAGGGTCCAACTATTTGCTGTTCTTGATAAACTCACTTTAAGGACATATATAGGCTGAAACTGAAGGGATGGAAGAAAAAATTCCATGCAAACTGTAACCAGTAGAGAGAAGGGGCAATTAAACTTACATCAGAAAAAAAATAGACTTAACTAAAAAAAATGTTATAAGAGACAAAGACAGATATTATATAACAATAAAAAGGCCAATACACTGGGAGAAATAACAATTATAAATATATATGCACCTAACATCAGATCACCTAACTGTATAAAGCAAATATTGACAGAACTGAAGGGACAAATACATAGCAATATAATAATAGTAGGAGAGTTCAATTCCTCAGTTTCAGTACTGAATAGAACATCCAGACAAAAGATCAATAAGGAAATGGAGAACCTGAACAACACTACAGGTCATATGGATCTAACAGACATATACAGATTATCCTTCCAAACAGTAATACAATAAACAATTTTATCAAGTGCACATAGAACTATAGAATAGTTCACATGTTAGATCACAGAAGAAGTCTTTAAAAAGTTAAGAAGACTGAAATTATACCAAGCATCTATTCTGACCACAATGGAGTAAAATCAGAAATCAATAACAGGAGGAATCATGGAAAATTTACAAATATGTGGAAATTAAATAACATCCTAGAACAACCTTTGGGTCAAAGAAGAAATTAAAAAGGAAATTAGAAAATACTTCAAGACAAATGAAAACAAAAGCATAACATACCAAAACTTACGTGATGCAGCAAAAGAAATACTGAGGGAAGTTTACAGTAATAAATGCCTACATTAAAAAAGAAGATCTCAACTAAACAACCTACCCTTGAACCTCAAAGAGCTAATGAAGAACAAACTAAACCCAAAGTTAGCAGAAGAAAAATAATAGCAAAGATTACATAAGGAATAAGAAGTACAAAAACAATAGGAAATGTCAACAAAACTATGAGTTGGATTTTTAAAATGATAAACAAAATTGACAAATCCTTACCTAGATTAAATAAGAAAAAAAGGCAGAAGACTCAAATAAATAAAATAAGAAATAAAAGAAAACATTGTAACTGATACCACAGAAACTAAAAATCATGAAACAACTATGAACAATTTATCCCAACAAACAATATAGTCTGCAACAAATGAATGTATCTCTAGAGACATACAACCTATCTAGACTGAATCATGAAGAAAAAGAAAGAAATCTGAACAGATCTATCAGTAATATGGTGATTCAATCTGTAATAAAGAAAATCCCAATAAAGAAAAGCCAGGAACAAATGGTTTCAATTATGAATTCTAGCAAACATTTAAAGAACATGTGGCAATCAGTTTTGAATTATTTCAAACAATTGAAGAGAAACACTTCCAAACTCATTTTATGAGATCAACATTACCATGATACCAAAGTCAGATGATACCATGATACCACAAAAAATAAAAAATAAATAAAACTGCCGGTCAATGATTATTGATGCAAAAATTATCAACAAAGTACAAATAAGCTGAATCCAATAGCACAATAAAAGGACCATATACCATGAGCAAGTTTGTTTTTATTCCTGAGATGCAAGGATGGTTGACCATTCAAAAATTAATTATGTTATACAACACATTAAGGAATAGAGGGAAAATATCACATGATAATTTAAGTAGATGCAGACAAGCCATTTGGCAAAATTAAATTCCTTTTCATTATACAACACCCTCAATAAACTAGGAATAGCTGGTGCTGTGGCTCATGCCTGTAATCCCGGCACTTTGTGAGGCCGAGGTGGGCAGATTGCTTTAGCTTGGGAGTTCAAGACCCAGCTGGGCGTGCAACTCTTAAGCTCAAGTGATCTGCTCACCTTTATTTTTGGTAGAGGTTGGTGAAACACCACCTCTACCAAAAATAAATCAAATTAGCTAGGTATAGTGGCATGCACCTGCCGTCCCAGCTACTCAGGAGGCTGACATAGGACGATTGCTTGAGCCCAGGAGGCTGAGGTTGCAGTGAGCAGAGATCATGCCACTGCACTCCAGCCTGAGTGACAGAGACAAAATAAACTAGGAACAGAAGAAAAGTATCTCAACATATTAAAGACCACATATGACAAGCCCACAGCTAACATCATACCAACACACTCAATGGAAAAAATTGAAAGCTTTTTCTCTCCAATCCAGAACTTACCAAGAATGCCCACTGTCAACACTTCTATTCAACACAGTACTGGAATTTGTAGTGAGCAATTAGGCAAGGTAATACAATAAAAGGCATCCAAATGAAAAAGGAAAATGTTAAATTGTTTCTGTTTGCTGACAACATGATCTTATACAGAGAAAACATGAAAGACTCCACCAAAAAAAAAAAAAGTTAGAACTAATAAAAAACAATCTGTAAAGTTATAGGATACCAATCAACACCTAAAAATTAATAGTGCTATTTTAATTAGAAATATAATCTAATTTATAATTTAATGTTACTGTAAATGATACTATTTTTCTAAATTCCTGAAGAAATTAGAAAACTCTAATGAGGTGAAACACTTGTATGCTGAAAACTACAAAATATTTTGAAGGAAAATTTAAAATATACAAATAAATTGAAAGGCATCTCATCTTCATGAATGGAAAGAATTAATATTGCTAAAATGCCCATGCCTCTCAAAGCAATCTACATATTCAATGTAGATTGAATTCTCTATTAAAATTCAAATTATAGTTTTTACAGAAATGCAAAAGTAATCCTAAAATTCATATGAAACCACAAAAATACCACAAATAGCCATTTGTTCTTGGGCAAAAAGAACAAAGCAACAATAATCAAAACATTCTGGTACTGACATAGATACGTAGATCAGTGGAAGAGGATAGAGAGCCTAGATATAAATCCATTCATTTATGGTCAATTAATTTTTGATAAAGATGTGATATGTTATTTATTCAACCTGTTATATGATAGTATAGCTAGATGTAAAATATAAATTTACCACTTGATTATGTATATATGAATTATTTCTTTTAGAAGAAATGGAATACTTTACCCTTTTTTAAAGTTCTTTTTCTAAACCAGACTCATCTGAAACCAGACATTTGTATTTGATGAAATATCAAAGATGTGAATAGTGTTAAATGTAAAGTCAGCAGTTTTTAAGAAAAAGTGTTCTTCTAAAGGCCATGGCTCCAAGCTCTTGCTCAAGCATTTGCCACTGCTCAACCCCTGAGGAAAAAATTTCTTACTAGGTTCTATCTCTAATCAAGGCAGTCAAATCTCATTTTCCTAAAGTAGTCTGGACCTAGAGTTAGTCCAGGAAGGTATTATGGCCATTAGTTTATTAATTTAGCAAATAACTAGAATGCAACTATAATAATAAAGGCTACGATGGAAGCAAATCAGAAATACAATTGAGGTAACATAATGAACCCAGAAGACCTTACAATCTTTTCTGGATTCTAAAGAAACTAAAATTTAGGATCAACTAATTGGCTTTCTATGTAGCTACTATAAATTAGGTCTATGTACATTACATTTACAAATATAGCTCTTTGTATTATATGTTTCTCATATTTAAACTCCTATTCTTTTGGAATGCTGTAAAGAAAAATATAGCTCAAAGTGGCATATCCAAAAAAGCTCATTTTTAGCATGGAATTCTATGAAAAACAGAAACACACAACTTGGTAATGGCATTTACCATTACAGCGTAAAAAGCTTTTTGAGTTTGTGCATCATAATACATCTTTGACTCAGGTACCACACAAATCAGTTCATATAGAATTGTAATATTTTTCAGCACTTTGTATTCCTGTGTCACTAGCTGAATTCTAAAAAGTTAAATCTAACCACATTCTAAAGAATACACTAATACATCTTTCCTAAATTTGAATATTCAAATATACAATTTCAATATTCTTATTTATTAAATTACTATTTTATTCAAAAAGGAAACATATATTTAGGGTAAAATTCATCTGTGTTTGCAGTTGTCTTTCTTAAAAACTGACAGTATTATTTGTATCTTAACACTTGAGACCAATGCACTGTACATTGGAAGGAATCAATAAACATTTAGTATCCTTCAAGATGCTACTGCTGCTGATGGATTATAGGTGGCCTATGATGTAGTGTTTCTTTTATATGCGGTAGGCAGCTTCTGACATGATTCTCAGTGATCCCTGTCTCCTGATATTCATATTCTATGTAACCCCCTCTCTTTGTGTATAGGCTGGTCCACCTAACTTTCTCCTAATGAGTAGAGTATGGAAAAAGTGATGGGATGTCAATTCAGAGTTCAAATTATAAGAGATTGATTATTTACTTGCTCACACTCTGACTTGCAAGCTGTCATGCTATGAGCTGACGTATAGTGAAGCCCACAAGGCAATGAATTGAGGGAGGCCTTCAATCAATAATCAGCAAAGAACTGTGGTCAACAGTCCAACAAACCACAAGAAGTGCCAATGGCCATGCAAGCAGAACTTTTCACAGTTGAGTCTTGATTACAGCTCTGTGACAGACCCTAAAGCAGAGGACAATTGTAACTCATGTCTCAATTCCTGACCCACAGAAAACAGTAGATAATAAATCTGTGTTGTTTTAGGCCACAAAGTTTTGGGACAATACATTATGACACAATAGATAACCTTTCAGCATAATCTTTATAGTATAGTGGTAGCTCCATAGCCCCATAGCATAACTGCATTACCAATTAAATATTTTGGCAGGTGCCAAAATATTTTTAAAAATTAAAGCCAAAATAATGTCTCTTTTAATTTCACATTTTATTTTAGATACTGGGAGTACACGTGCAGATTTGTTACATGGGAATACCGCATAATGCTGGGGTTTGGAGTACAAATCTCATCACCCCGGTAGTGAGCATAGTATCGAATAAGTAGTTTTTTTTTTAACCCACCCACGTCCCTCCATCTTCTAGTAGTCACCTGTGTCTTTTTTCCCATATTTATGTCCATGTGTGCTCAATGCTTAACTCCCACTTATAAGTAAAAACATGCAGTATTTGGTTTTCTGTTCCTGCATTAATTTGCTTAGGATTATATCCTTCATCTGCATCCATGTTGCTGCAAGGGACATGATTTTGTTGTTTTTCATTGCTGCATAGTATTCCATGGTAAACATTTACACATTTTTCTTATCCAATCTATCATTCATGGGCACTCACATTGATTCTATGTCTTTGTTATTATGAATAGCATAGCAATGTGCATACAAGTGCATGTGTCTTTCTGGTAGCATGTTTTATTTTCTTTCAGGTATGTATCCAGCAAAGGATCACTATTAAATTAATATATATAAATAATATACATACATACACTCTAAAATGCACATTGGGTTATTTTGTTTTAAATTAATCTCTAAAAAAAATTGGGGATGAGGAACCACCTAAAAATAATCCAAAATCTCTACTCTCTTATTAAGCTGTTGTGTGTTTTGAATTTTACTTTTTAAAGATTGCATTGAAAAATTTGAGCTAATACATTCCTACAGAAACTATTCCAAAAAAAATGAGGAGGGGCTCCTTCCCAAGTCATTCTATGAAGTCAGCATTATCTTGATAACAAAACCTGTCAGAGACACAACAAAAAAAGAAAACTTCAGGCCAGTATCCTTGATACACATCGATGTAAAAATCCACAACAAAATAGTTGCAAAAAGCAAATCCACCATGATCAAATAGGCTTCATTTCCAGGATGCAAGGTTGGTCCAACATATGCAAATCGATAGATGCAATTCATCACATAAACAGAACTAAAGACAAAAATGCATGATCATCTCAATAGATGCAGCAAAAGCTTTTGATAAAACTAAACACTCCTTAATATTAAAAACTCTGAATGAACTAGGTACTGAAGGGATATACCTTAAAATAATAACAACCACCTATGATAAACCCACAGCCAACATGATACTGATGGGAAAAAGCTGGAAGCATTCCCCTTTGAAAACTGGCACAAGACAAGAATTGTCTATCTCACCACTTCTATTCAACATATTATTGGAAGTCCTGGTTAGAGCAATCAGGCAAGAGAAAGAAATAACAGGCATCCAAATAAGAAGAGATAAAGTCAAGCTATCTCTGTTTGCAGATGACATGATTCTATATCTGGAAAACCCCATAGTCTCAGTCCAAAAGCTCCAGATGATAAACAACTTTAGCAAAGTTTCAGGATACAAAATCAATGTAGAAAAATCACCAGCATTCCTATACACCAATGACAGCCCAACTGAGAGCCAAATCAGAAAGGCATCCCATTCACAATTGCCACAAACAGAATAAAATACCTAGGAATACAGCTAACCAGAGAGGTGAAATATCTCTACAATGAGCATTACAAAACACTGCTCAAAGAAATCAGAGAAGACACAAACATATGGAAAAACATCCCATGTTCATGGATAGGAAGAATCAATATTATTAAAATGGCTATACAACGCAAAGCAATGTACAGACTCAATGCTATTCCTATCAAACTACCAATGACATTCTTCACAGAACTGGAAAAAAATATTTTAAAATTCATATGAAACCAAAAAATAAGACATACATGAGGCCAACAAGCATATGAAAAAAAGCTCAATATCACTGACCATTAGGGAAATGCAAATCAGAATCACAATGAGATACCATCTCATGCCATTCAGAATGGCTATTATTAAAAAGTAAAAAAATAATAGAGGCTGGTGAGGTTGCAGAGAAAAGGGAAAACTTATACAATGTTGGTAGGAGTGTAAATTGGTTCAACCACTGTGGAAAGCATCATGGTGATTCCCCAAAGAGCTAAAATCAGAAGTACCATTCAACCCAGCAATCTTATTATTGGGTATATACTCAGAGGAATACAAATCATTCTACCATAAAGACACATACGTGTGAATGTTCATTGTAGCACCATCCACAAAAGCAAAGACATGGAATCAACCTAAATGCCCAGCAATGATAGATTGGATAAAGAAAATATGGTATGTATACACCATGGAATACTATGGAGCCATAAAAAATAATAAGATCATGTCTTTTACTGGAGCAGGGATGGAGGTGGAGGCTATTATTCTTAGCAAACTAACGTAGAAACGGAAAAACAAATATTGCATGTTCTCACTTGTAAGTGGAAACTAAATCATAAGAATATATGAACATAAAGAAGGAAACAACAGACACTGGGGTCTACTTGAGGGTAGGAGGAGAGGAACAGAAAAGATAACTATTGAGTACTAGGCTTAATACCTGGGCGATGAAATAATATATACAACAAACCTCCATGACACATGTTTACCTATGTAGCAAACCTTCACGTGTACCCCCAAAACTGAAATAAAAGTTAAAAAAAAGAAAAGGAAATTAAGAACTACCTAGTGAACAGAGCTCTTCCACTTAAACGAAGTGTGCTCGACCTGTTCTTACAAATACAATAGTGGGAACTTTACCTGTGTACAAAACAGCAGAGCATATCTTAAAATTATTGTGAAGAGTTTTGGTATTGTGTGACAAGACAAAAGGGTATCAGGTTGTTTATTGCAGAATGCCCCCTTTAGGGTGTTAGCCAAAGCCTTCACATATTCATATATTCAAGTAGTATATTCAGCTTGGGAAGAAAGGAGTCTGCCTCTAGCTGGCTGCTGCCTTTTTTTGCCTTCTAATGACATAAAAAATTTGAAAAGTTGAAAAAAAGTTTTGTTTTAGAACTTCTCTCCTCCTTAACACATCCTTATGTTTTTCTGTTTTTTTTCTGCTCTCTTGGTAATAAATGAAGTTTGGTATTTTTAAAATACATTTCCTCTTTCATATAATATACCTTTAAATACATAGCTTTATAATAATCTTATTTAAAATGAATACATTATAATATTTAGCTCCTTATTTTTCCATGCACTTACCTCTCTTAATTTCCTGTTTTCTCTTTTCTATCTGCTTTTTTATTTCCCTTCAATGTTCACCTCACTGATCAAATCATTTTCAGTCAAATACAGATGAGCAAAAAGGCAGAGTAAACATTTTAAAACAGTTACTTGCCAGATTAGAAACCCCATTTTATAGAGCAGACATTTCCTCTTTCTCAACTCTTAAAGAACCAGGCCAGTCTGATTAAACTAAATTAGAGATAGAGATACCTTTTACTCAAGACCAAGTCAGAAAATCAACTATTTAATATCATGGTGCTCTTAAGGTCATATGTATTGGAGGTATTGCTTTCTCCTGGCATCATTTGTTTGGGAAAAGGCTATGAATGTTCATAAGAGACAATAAAAACTGGACTAAACTAACAAGATGATGGATGGTGTTACATTCACATAAAGTGATTCCCTTGAGTAGATGATAGCTGAAATACAATAATATTTCACATCAAATCATGCAAAGTAATTAGGTGTCAATGGAAAACATTTTTATATAATCTGACCCCTTTACTTATCATAATGGTTCACTACTTCTCTATTATAAAATGTTCAACATTTTCCTATTTATAAGAATACTTTTTGGCATTTATTTATTATCCTAAGTTAAACAGAAAATAATTTAAATTTTAGAGTTGATATTTTCACATCTTTGAATAACCCAAGATACATTGGGATTGTTCAAAATAGAGGTTGGAAAACACTTTATCTTAACTTTCAATATATTTATTGGACTTTTGATTGATTTACAAAACATATTCATTTCTCAAGCCTAACTTTGGGCCAGGTACTGATGGTTTCAATTTTTATATCTCTAATGACTGATAATGTTGAATATCTTATCATGTGCTTATTTGTCATTCATATATCATCTTCAATGAAGTGTTTGTTTAAAGCTTTTCCTCACTTCTTATTAGGTTGTTTCTTTTCTTAGTATTGAATTTTGAGAGTTCTTTTTAAATTCTGGGGATAAATCATTTGTTAGAATCTGCAAAGATTTTCTCCTAGTTCATGGCTTCTCTTTTTATTTGTTTAATGATATCTACTTAAAAATAGACGTTCTTAGCTTTGGTGAAGTTTTATACTTAGGTTTATGATCCATTTTGATATCCTAAGAAAAAAATTATTTATATAATTTAATATTACTCAGAAAATGCAAGTGACTCTTGTTGTTGGGACAGTGAGTATACAATAAAAGAGATCAGTACACATGGGGAAAAGTAGGGGAAATGTCCATGCAGGGGGAGTTAGAACAAATCTTGAAGGATGAGGGGAATTTGGATTGTGAGGAAGAGAAAAGGCCTCCCTGACAAAGTAGTGTCAAGAAATGCAAAGAAATGGAAGATTTATTTTCATTGCAGAAATAGGGTTGAAAGCAAAGGGCTGGATGGGCTCATTTTAGTAATCATGAGGAGAGAAACTTTATTTAATAATATCTCATATATAAAGGCCTTTCCTTGATAAAGCCCTTTCATACTGGTAGATCATCTTATTTTCATAAGTAGTTGAGTTGGGCAAGTGATATCACCAATTAACAGAGAATGGCTAAAGACCCAGATTTTATAAATTGCTGATTTATTGTCATATAATTAATTCATTAATTATTTCAATGAATTCACTGAAGCTCAGAGAGGACCCCAAACACATATCTATTGTCTTTATGTTCTTTTGTCCAGATGTCAGTGCTAGAGTACAAAGTCTAGCCATACACAGGAACTGTAAGTTAAATTGGAACATATCATAGTTATTAAAAATTGTTTATTTTCTATTGATTTCTCTAACTGCACTGCATGGGAAACATGTTTTATACCTAACTTCAGATTACTTAATATATAACGTTAAAGAAGACCCAACTTTCTTGTCTTATGTTTTCTGAATCTTACCATAAAGAAAATAGACCAATTGCTTACATTTAATTTATTGAACTGAATTCAAGTTGCAAATGCAAACTGAAATAACATTTGTAAATGGATACTTTACTGGGTTTCAAATGCTTTCTTATAAGTGAAACTACATTAAATAAAGATAATGCTTGTTCAACAGTCATTGATAATTCCTTTTCCTTTGGGATAGTGTTTCTGCTAGCTGTTTCCTTTTACTGAAAAGCCAATAAAAAGGGAAAAACTAAAACTCTTAGTCATTAAGTATCAATAAATCAATATGAAGACATCTTTTGGCAGACTAATGTGAAATGAATTAAAACTAAATGAAGACTTTATTATGTGAGTGTATATATCCATGTGTATCCAGCAAAATTCAGAGAAGACATAGTTCAAATATAACTAGTATTTCTTGTTATTTCCATTTGAGTTATTGTAGATGACTTAGTGATTGATTGAAGTGGTGAAGAATATTAAAATCACTAGCAAAACATAGCTGAACAAATGTTTTACATGTTTAGTAAAAGATGTGTTAATCTAATCACACAGGAGCTACCATTGTTACAACTAACCCTGGAGCTATAAAATGAGCTATAAAATGGATTTAATTTTATAATATTACAAGTTCTGTCATTATGGCTAAGATTAACTAGATAGCCTGATAAAGGTCTATTGCTTTTAGTGATGCAGTGATGTTGCAGACAGGAAACTTTTTGGTAATTATAGGTGACTTACTGGAAATAAAAGGGCAGAGAAAGGGCACCTCTGCGTAATCATAAGTAATGGAAAGACAAATGGTTTGAACAAGGTAATGATTCTTCTTGAAGAAGAATCTCATAGTGGCACATGATAGAAAGGGTTAAGTCCTAAGTAAGTTAGAGGATTTAATGGTATAATGAAGTTATAATTTATTTTGTCCAATTGAGTGATTATCTAGAGCCCTGTTTGAGCGGATATTTTTCTCTGGTGTTCTCTACAAGATACGATAATTTGCCCTCATGATATAATGTGCAAATGTGAAGTTTAAATGCATTATGTTGCAGCTCTTTGAGATTTAGGCCTTCATTGTTGGCTTTCCTCAATTAACTATATGTGTCTTTAGGTCTTCTAATGATCAAATCTGTATTTCTTCTCTAGAAGTTAGCATTTTTGTCTGTACAAGAAGGGTTTATAATAGTGAAGTGTTGAGTGATATGTAAATTTCTCTGGGCTACTGTGTGCTATAAACAGCATGATAAACAACTTTCCTAAATGATATTTTCACAGCTGAACTAGAAATAACATCTTTGCTCTTGGCCTTTCACAAGCTTCTTTGAATCTGCACCTTTAAAGTAATGTCATTAAATCTACTGGTTTTCTTTAGAAAATTTAGGTGTAGCATCATTTAATTGATCCTTCTGTCATAAACCACTGATAAATGACTTTAATCATTTTGGGAAATGGCTTATGTTTCAATATAATAATTCTCACAGCAACTCACAGTCTTGGTATCCCATGTTTTACCCTAAAAATAAGGAAATGCTCTCTACACACAGAATTGTGACACCTATGTGTTTACTAAAGAAGTCCACTTATTTCAAGTAAGAGAAATTTTACATATATTCTCACCAAGGGTCTCACAGGCTATTTATATTCTTAGCATCTTAACACATGCAAACAAGAAATCATATTGTACCTAATACTATTGAAAATGTTGTTTCAGGACTTATAAGATACAGCTAAAATAATGGTTGGGGGGAAATTACAGCTTTAAATGAATATATAGGACAAGAAGAAAGGTTGAAAATCATCAATCTAAGATCTGATTGGAAGAAGCAAGAAAAAATTTTAGCCAATTAAACCCAAACAAAGTTGCAAAAAAGATAAATATATGAGCAGAAGCAATGGACTAAAAACCATATGTACAATAGAGGGATATTTATTTTTTATTTTATTTAAATTTTTAAATTTGTATGGGTGCATAGGAAGTGTACATATTTATGAGGTACAGGAAATACTTTGATACAGGCATACAATGTGTAATAATCACACCAGAGTAAATAGAGTATCCATCATCTCAAACATTGATCACTTCTTTATATTAAAAACATTCCAATTATACTCTTAGTTATTTTTAAATGTACAAAATATTATTGTTGACTATAGTCACCCTATTGTGCTAGCAATGCTGGATCTAATTCATTCAATCTAACTATATATTTAAACCCACTAACAGTCCCTACCTTTCCCTGCTTCTCTGTATTACCCTTCCCAGCCTCTGGGAACCATAATTTTACTCTCTATCTCCATGATTTCAATTGCTTTAATTTTTAACTCCCACACATAAGTGATAACATGTAAAATTTGTCTTTCTGTGCCTGGCTTATTTCACTTAACATAATGTTCCCCAGTCCCATCTATGATGCTGCAAATGACAGGATCTCATTCTTTTTTATAAATGAATAGTATTCCGTTGTGTATATGTACCACATTTTCTTTATCCATTCATCTGTTGATGGACACTTAGGTTACTTCCAAATCTTAGCTATTGTGAACAGTGCTGCAACAAACATAAAGTGCAGATATCTCTTTGATATACTCATTTCCTTTCTTTTGGGTATATACCCAGCAGTGGGAATTGCTGGATAATATGGTAGTTCCATTTTTAGTTTTTTGAGGAACCTTTATACTGTTCCCTATAGTGGCTACACTAATTTACAATTCCACCAACAGTGTACAAGGGTTCCCTTTTCTCCTCATCCTCATCAGCATTTGTTATTGCTTGTCTTTTGGATATACGTCATTTTATCGAGTGTGAGATATTTTATTTTAGTTTTGATTTGTGTTTCTCTGATGATCACTGACATTGAGCGTCTTTTCATACATCTGTATGCCATATGTTTGTCTTCTTTTAAGAAATACCTACTCAAATCTTTTGCCCGTTTTTAACTAAATTAGTAGATTTTTCTCTATTGAGTTGTTCTGGCTCCTCATATATTCTGAGTATTAAACTGTCTTCAGATGGGTTGTTTGCAAATATTTTCTCCCATTCTGTGGGTCGTCTCTTCACTTTTTCATTGTTTCTTTTTCTATGCAGAAGCATTTTAACTCGATGTGATCCCATCCCATCTGTCCATTTTTGCTTTTGTTGCCTGTGCTTTGGGGTATTACTCAAGAATTTTTTGCCAAGACCCATATCTGGAGAGTTTCCTCAATGTTTTCTCTTAGTAGTTTCATAGTTCGAGGTCTTAGATTTATGTCTACAATCCATTTTTATCTGATTTTTGTATAAAGCAATAGAAAGGGGTCTAGTTTTATCCCTATGTATACAGATATCCAGTTTTCATAGCACCATTTATTGAAGAGAGGGTCCTTTCCCCAGTGTATGTTCTTGGCAACTTTGCTAAAAATTAGTTCCCTATAGATGTATTAATTTATTACTGAGTTCTCAAATCTATTTCATTGGTCTGTGTGTCTGATAAATGTCTTCTTTTGAGACGTGTCTGTTCATATCCTTTGCCCACTTTTTCACGGGGTTGTTTGTTTTTTTCTTGTAAATTTATTTAAGTTCTTTGTAGATTGTGGATATTAGCCCTTTGTCAGATGGGTAGATTGAACAAATTTCTCCCATTCTGTAGGTTGCCTGTTCACTCTGATGGTAGTTTCTTTTGCTGTGCAGAAGCTGTTTAGTTTAATTAGATTCCATTTGTCAATTTTGGCTTTTGTTGCCATTGCTTTTGGTGTTCTAGGTTTTCTGCTGGGGTTTTTATGGTTTTAGGTCTAACACTTAAGTCTTTAATCCATCTTGAATTAATTTTTGTATAAGGTGTAAGGAAGGGATCCAGTTTCAGCTCTCTACATATGGCTAGCCAGTTTTCCCAGCACCATTTATTAAATAGGGAATCCTTTCCCCATTGCTTGTTTTTCTCAGGTTTGTCAAAGTCAAAGATCAGATGGTTGTAAATGTGTGGTATTATTTCTGAGGGCTCTGTTCTGTTGCATTGGTCTATATATCTGTTTTGATACCAGTACCATGCTGTTTTGGTTACTGTAGCCTTGTAGTATAGTTTGAAGTCAGGTAGCATGGTGCCTCCAGCTTTGTTCTTTTGGCTTAGGATTGTCTTGGCAATGTGGGCTCTTTTTTGGTTCCATATGAACTTTAAAGTAGTTTTTTCCAATTCTGTGAAGAAAGTCATTTGTACCCTGATGGGGATAGCATTGAATCTATAAATTACTTTTCAGGATACTGATTCTTCCTATCCATGAGCATGAAATGTTCTTCCATTTTTTTGTGTCCTCTTTTATTTCGTTGAGCAGTGGTTTGTAGTTCTCCTTGAAGAGGTCCTTCACATCCCTTGTAAATTGGATTCCTAGGTATTTTATTCTCTTTGTAGCAATTGTGAATGGGAGCTCACTGATGATTTAGCTCTCTGTCTGTCTGTTAATGGTGTACAGGAATGCTTGTGATTTTTGCACATTGATTTTGTATCCTGAGACTTCGCTGAGTTTGCTTATCAGCTTAAGGAGATTTTGGGCTGAGACAATGGAGTTTTTCTAAATATACAATTATGTCATCTGCAAACAGGGACAATTTGACTTCCTCATTTCCTAATTGAATAACCTTTATTTCTTTCTCTTGCCTGATTGTCCTGGTCAGGACATCCAACACTATGTTGAATAGGAGTGGTGAGAGAGGGCATCCTTGTCTTGTGCCAGTTTTCAAAGGAATGCTTCCAGTTTTTGCCCATTCAGTATTATATTGGCTGTGGGTTTGTCATAAATAGTTCTTATTATTTTGAGATACGTTCCATCAATACTTAGTTTATTGAGAGTTTTTAGCATGAAGTGCTGTTGAATTTTGTCAAAGACCTTTTCTGCATCTATTGAGATAATCGTGTGGTTTTTGTCTTTGGTTCTGTTTATGTGATGGATTACGTTTATTGATTTGCATATGTTGAACCAGACTTGCATCCCAGGGATGAAGCCAACTTGATCCTGGTGGATAAGCTTTTTGATGTGCTGCTGGATTCAGTTTACCAGTATTTTATTGAGGATTTTTGCATTGATATTCATCAGGGATGTTGGTCTAAAATTCTCTTTTTTTGTTGTGTCTCTGTCAGGCTTTGGTATCAGGATGATGCTGGCCTCATAAAATGAGTTAGGGAGGATTCCCTCTTTTTCTATTGATTGGAATAGTTTCAGAAGGAATAGTACCAGCTCCTCTTTGTACCTCTGGTAGAATTCGGCTGTGAATCTGTCTGGTCCTGAACTTTTTTTGGTTGGTAGAATATTAATTCTATGCTGCCAACAGACACATGAAAAAATGCTCATTATCGCTCGTCATCAGAGAAATGCAAATCAAAACCACAATGCCATACCATCTCACGCCAGTTAGAATGGTGATCATTAAAAAGTCAGGAAACAACAGGTGCTGGAGAGGATGTGGAGAAATAAGAACACTTTTACACTGTTGGTGGGAGTTTAAATTAGTTCAACCATTGTGGAAGACAGTGTGGCAATTCCTCAAGGATCTAGAACTAGAAGTAACATTTGACCCAGCCATCCCATTACTGGGTATATACCCAAATGATTATAAATCCTGCTACTATAAAGACACATGCACACGTATGTTTATTGCGGCACTATTCACAATAGCAAAGACTTGGAACCAACCGAAATATCCATCAGCGATAGACTGGATTAAGAAAATGTGGCACATAAACACCTTGGAATACTATGCAGCCATAAAAAAGGATGACTTCATATTCTTTGCAGGGACATGGATGAAGCTGGAAACCATCATTCTCAGCAAACTGTCACAAGGACAGAAACCAAACACCACATGTTCTCACTCATAGGTGGGAATTGAACAATGAGATCACTTGGATACAGGGCGGGGAACATCACACACCAGGGCCTGTCAGGGGGTGCGGTCCTGGGAGAGGGATAGCATTAGGAGAAATACCTAAAATGTCAATGATGAGTTGATGGGTGCATCAAACCAACACGGCACATGCATACCTACGTATCAAACCTGCACGTTGTGCACACGTACCCTAGAACTTAAAGTATAATAATAATAATAAAAACATGTAGTCTGCAGGCATAAAAAAAGAAAAAAAATTATTTCTAGTGGAATCAAAATCCTATAGAAATGTGATACTAACCATTATCAATTTTAAAAATACATGGCTAAGCTCTCATTTAACAGAAATATTAAATCATTTCCTTTTTCTCCTTGAACTAATATCTCTGTTCCACTTTGCAACAACATTTTATTCTTACAAAAGCCTTCTAATAATCACTTTATCATGCTTTGCTGATACAATTAGGTGTATATATATAGAGAAATATTAACTTATTAAAATATATTATTAAATTCTAAGTATTAACAAATGTCTTCAGCATAGACATTACAATTATCATTAGTTAACAACTGGCAGTCAAAATAAAATATACATTATAAATATTAATAAATACTAAAGTCAAATTATATTAAAATTTATTTTTGTTAAAATGAATGGGGCACCTCCCAATTAGTTAATATCTCTGCTTTTTGATATATTTATTTAATATATTTTTAAATTTGTTTTATATATTTATTTATATATTTAACATGTGTTTATGTATATATTTATTTTTTAGAGTTAATACTGTTTTATTTTGTTTATTTTTTCAACTTTTATTTTAGATTCAGTGGGCACATGTGTGTGATGCTAAGGTTTGGGGTATGATGAATCCATCACCCAGGTAGTGAGCTTAGTATCCAATAGGTAGTTTTTTTCAACCCCTGCTACCTTCCCTCCTTCCCTCTTCTTGTATTATCCAGTGTCTATTGTTCCCATCTTTATGTCCATGTGTACCCAAAGTTTAGCTCCCACTTATAAGTCAGAACATGCGTTATATGGTTTTCTCTTTCTGCATTCATTTGCTTAGGATAATGGCCTCCTGCTGCATTGATATTGCTGCAAAGGATCTGATTTTGTTCTTTCTTATGGCTGTGTAGTATTCTACTGTATATATGTTCCACATTTTCTTTATCCTATCCACCATTGATAGCCACCTAGTTTGATTCCATGTACTTGCTATTGTGAATAGTGCTGTGAGGAACATATGAGTACCTGTGTATTTTTGGTAGAATTATTTATTTTTCTTTGGGTATATATCTAGTAATGGGATATTAGTAATCTAGCAATACCTGTGGAATTATAGTTCTAATTTTTAGTTCTTTGGGAAATCACCAAACTGCTTTCCACAGTGGCTGAACTAATTTACATTCTCACCAACAGTGTATGACTTGCTTTTTCTCCACAACCTTGCCAACATCTATTATGTTTTGAATGTTTGTTTTTAAATACTACTTTGTGCAAATTGAGACAGAATTCAGCATCCAACTTATTCACTTTCACATTTATGGATGCAAATTCTGAGAAATCTAATGCATATTATTCAGTAGATAGAAATGTCAGAAATATATTACCAATGTCACTATATTGTTGGAACTTCTACAAGGAAATGTGTGTAAAATTATACATAACAATCTATAATTAAAGATATTTTAGGCCTCTCCATCAATTGACAATGCTAACATCCTCCTTTAATCTCATAGAATGCAAAGCATGGCAAACCTTACTTGCAGACACATTTGCTTCTCATTTAAGTCCCTCACTTTCATTATTTCAAGAAAGTCCACCAAAGAGTTTTACCGAGACTTGTCAAAAAACCATTAATTAACTCCTCTCAGTAGTTCACTAAAGGACACATTAGTTTTTAACTAAAAAAAAAAAATATGAATCTAGGGTAAGAAAAAAATATTTTTGGAATTTTTGTATTATTACTTTCCCCATGGGTTGTGAATATCTATGCAGATGCTCCTCTTATAATAGGATTGTATGCACATAAATCTATCATAAATTGAAAATGTCATGTCAAAAATGCACGTAATATGCTTAACCACCAAACATCACAGCTTAGTCCAGCCTACCTTAAACATGCTCAGAATATTTACATTAGCCTACAATTGGGCAAGATCATCTGGCAGCAGAGCACACTGCAGAATCTCAGCTGTTTACCCTTGTGATCGCTTGCATGGCTGACTGGGAGCTGCGAGCATCACAAGAGGGTATCTTATATTATATTGCCAAATCGGAAAAAGATCAAAATTCAAGAAAGTTTAGTTTCTATTGAATGCATATCACTTTTGCACCACTATAAAGTCAAAAAAATTGTAAGTCAAACCATTGTAAATCCAGGACCATTTTTAGATTAATTTCAGATTTCAAATTCATAATTATTTCAAAGTTCATTAAAAAGACACGACATAAGAAATAGACACTTGAGAAACGTTATAGAAAAATATTAGTAATATCACTTTAAAAATTTTAAGTTTATAGTTATGTTCAACAGAATTGAGAAGCATAAGAACATACGAGAAAAAAGAATTGATCTTAATTCAGTAAAACTGATTATATAAATTTTAAGACCTGTTAGATTGCATTTTGGGGACATATTGTCCTATGGCTATAAATAAGCAGATTCTTGCTCTTAAAAGTGTAGTTTAATATACTTTCTTGAAATTAACAAATCAGGGAGAGAGAGAAAGACTGAGAGCAGCATTTTTGCTGCTAGTAAGTAATGACTATAGATTAGTTTATTATTTACAGTAAACTTCAAATATCTTCCTATTAAGGAAAATTAAACCTAAAAAATAATGTGTATATTTATAAATGATAAGATACTCGAAGGGTAAAAGACAGTAAGCAGCAACCAAATAAAGAGTGAATACAGATCAATGGTATCTCTAAGTATTTGGCAAAAGTTATCAAGAATGTTTTTCTATGAACAGAAATAAATGCTCGAGAAAATTTAAAACACTCACTTATCTGTGAAACACATTCCATTAAGTTAAAAATATAAGACCCATCTGTCAAAGATGAATGTAAAATTTTCAACTCACCTTCCTTGAAATCATACAAACTATGCAACTAAGAATCACAACATAGGCCAATACATGGAAAAATATCTCATCAAATTCTTTATCAGAACCCAGAATAAATGCCGAAAATGGAAAAGGACACATGCCATAGAATACTGAAATTGACCTTTAGTCCTTTTACACATTTTACATAGATTAGTTCTAAATGATACATAGATGACTGATAGAATTATAGACACATAAATAAAAAGATAGCTAGCTAGCTAGCTAGACAGACAGATATAAATAAACAGACACGAGTAATTATTTTTATTGAAGATCTCTCTTGGACTCTCAGGAACTCTGCATTCTTTTACCATAGCTGGGGAATGGAAGAGGTGAGATCACTAAGTGAAAGTTGCCATCATGGCTGTACAATATATTTGATTTCAGCATATCTCAACATGAAACCAGATATTTTGTTTTTAATGTCACAATTTAGCCTTGACAGACATGGGCATAAGATACAGAAAGATGTAAATTATGCCTTGAATAAAGAAGATTCTGCCAAGTACCTAAATATTGATTTATATTTTCTTTTAACTCTTACCAGTGTACCTTCTTAAGATTCAGCAGGGATGAGAAATATACCTTTCTTTGTAGGGTGCGAAAAGAATAATTGGGTAAAACAGTGTAAGAAAGAAGAACCTGTAAGATGCTTCAATTATGGGCTTGTTCTACAATGGATGCATTTTAGAAGAAAAGAGTGCCTATGGAAGGGGAGGATCTGAAAACTGACTCCGCCAGTACTATCCACATCCTCATAGCACTTAGGAATTTTTCATAAATATGAGTAACCCAGTTTAAATGCGGTGGAATAGCTAAGCACTGGCAGACTCTCAAATAAACAGTTTCCAATAAGATCTCTGCCCTTTTAACATGACTTCAAATGGGACCCACTGTATAATATATCTCAGCATTTTCAGGTACTATCAAAGGAAATTTTTACATTTTACGTTAATCTATATTAGATTTAATATAACCTAATTAGCATTTTTTAATATTGTTTGCTAAATTTTATCTTGTATTTTATTAAAACTCTTAGTCCTTTTTAAAATTAACTCCTCCCTAGTTTGGAAGAGAAATGAATGAAAGAAATAGAATAGTTTTCAAAGTGATCAGTAAATATAAGTGAGGTTTGTATTCCTTTTTATCCTTCTAGACAGTGAACTGAACATATTTGGAAGCTCAGTGGAAAGAGAAAGTTTCCTGAAACAAACAAGGTTTAGGAACCCTCTATAATCCCTCTCCATCTTGGAATCCAAATGACAAAGATCAAAGCTAGCATTTGGAAAAAGAAATAAAATGTACTCCTCTTACATATGAGAAGGGGAAAGAACTGATATAGAGACAGAAGTGTATTCAAGCCGGAGCGCGTTTATTTGTGAGTGGATTATTTTGGATGGTAGTGTATACAAAGTCAGCAACCTTTATTGCATGGATTTAAAAAAAAAAAAAACACCCACTGATATATTTGTTAAACTATACAATTCCTGTATGTGTAACAACCTTTTTAAAACTATTCATACAGTTGTTGGAATTTACTAAACTTTGTAACTAAGCCTGATTTAGTGTAGTCTCTGTTATAAAATGATCACCTTAATTATGCAAATGCTTTTTTCCAGCAATTGTAAGTACTTACCCAAAGCATTTTTTTTTTTTTTTTTTTTTCAGACGGAGTCTCATTCTTTCGCCCAGGCTGGAGTGCAGTGGCGCGATCTCTACTCACTGCAAGCTCCACCTCCCGGGTTCACGCCATTGTCCTGCCTCAGCCTCCCGAGTAGCTGGGACTACAGGCACCAGCCCCCAGGCCCAGCTAATTTCTTTCTTTTTTTTTTTTTTTTTTGTATTTTTAGTGGAGACAGAGTATCACCGTGTTAGCCAGGATGGTCTCGATCTCCTGACCTCGTGATCCACCTGCCTCAGCCTCCCAAAGTGCTGGGATTACAGGCGTGAGCCACCACGCCCAGCCAACCCAAAGCATTTTTTAAAGGTACATTCCACTTTCTAAAAAAATAATCACAGTGGCAGCTCCTTATCAAGCATACAACTTAGTTTACATATATAATTCATATATCACAAAATGTGTACATGAAAACACGTATTTTCTTTTTATTTTCGGAGATGGGGTCTCACTATGTTGCCCAGCCTGGCCTCAAACTCCTGGATTCAGGCAATCCTTCTGCCTCAGCCTCCTGAGTAGCTACTGGCATGAGCCACTGCACCCAGATTGAAAATACTTTTTTCTGTGCGCGCGCGTGCACACACACACACACACACACACACACACACACACAGCTTAAGGCTTATTGACTATTCACATTTTGCCTAATTGCTCTCCAAAGTCATTCTAATAATTTAAGCTCTGTAGGTGTTCTCATTTTCCCACATTGTCAAGACTTGGTGTTAGCAGACTTAGTATTTTTTATCTGAGTAGTGAAATTATACGTTGTGATTATTTTAATCTTAATTGATTTAGTTACTGTTAAGGTTGGTAATATATTTTATCTTTCTGTCCATCTGATTTTCTCCTCTCTGAATTTCCTGTTTATATTCTCCTCATATTTTCTATGAGTTGTTCAACCCTAGCGATTTGTAGAAGTTCTGTGTCTATTCTGGATATTAATTCTTTCTTATTTTATATGGGATGCAAATATCACATCAGTCCACAGATTTTCATTTTGTTTAAGTTAACTGCTTTTCTATGAATGGTTTTAATTAGGCAGCAGCAATCTTCATTACATTTTTCTTTTAGTTTGTATTTTTATAAGAAATTGTTTTGTACTCTGAAGACTTAATCATATTTGTCTATGGTTCTTCTAACTACTTTAAAAATTTTGGTTTTTGTTTAGGTATTTTGTCCATTTGAAATTAATTTTCTGAATAGCATGTGATTTAGTTATGTGGTTTTATCTTTCTCGTGATTAACTGACGTATCATTCATTGAATCTATTCTCCACTTATTTGTAATATCACCTCTGCCATGTATCATGTTCACATATGCACATGAGTTAGTTTCAAGGCTCTGTTTTACTAAGTTTTTGTCTATGCCTATGCCAATATCATATTACCTTAATTACTATTGTTTTATAGTAGATTGATAAAGATATTGCCTATAGTTTGTGCCCAAAGTTTTAAAGTTATTCTTTTGATAGTTAAATCATTCATCTTCCTGGAATTGAACATTGAGTTTTGTTTATAGAATAAGAAGACTTTTTTAATATCTTAAAACAAAGTTTCATAATTTTTGTAATATATATTTACAGACACATATATATGTATATGTATATGTATGTATGTACATACGAATATAAGACTTGTTCCTAAGGTTTTTCTGCTCATAAATAAATACACAGGGAAAAGGGAAAGCTCTTTCCAATAAGAGAATGATATTATCATTCTATGAAGCTGTATCAGCTTTTTGTCAGTTAAAATTTGCTTATTGTATTTTTTCTTCTTATCATCATCAGCACTTTATATTACATAACTGGATGAGACTTTTTCCCTTCCACCTGACATTCACTTTTTAAAATAAAATATCCATTATGTTCACAATTATGATTATTGATAAATTTGGAAAAAATCCCACCATGTGATTTTATGCTTTCTAATTAATAAGCTTTTTTATTAATGCACAAATCTTTTTTAATCTTCTACTCCATCACGACTTTCCATTTAATTAATAAAGTATTCTTACATCCTTTTACTCTACTTGTATTTTTAATTTTTAGACATTTCCCTATATTTTTAACATGCACACTTGACTCAACGAAGCAAAGGTTTGAGCAATGCTATTTCTCTTCTCCTGAATAACACAAAGGCCCTAAGTGCCCTATTCACAATAAACCACCCATTTTACACTTTAATATTTTATAGTATTGGTTGTTATTGCTTTAGATAATCAATATCTATTTATATAAATCTCAAGTTTCATCAGTTTTATTACTCACGAAGGCTTTTCATATCCTGCTCCTTCTTTCTAGGAGTTTTCTCCCTCCTGAGGTATACCTTTTAGTTTTACTTCTAATAAATGTTGGAGAGTAGTATGTTCTCTTTTTCCCAGATTCAAAATAATTTTATTTTGCTCTTACTCTTGAATAATAGTTCAGATTGGCTGAGTATGCTAAGAGTTGTTTCCCTTTTTAGCACTTGGAAAATCCGATTATTATTAAAATTTTTCAGTGTTGTTTTGCTGCTGAGAATTCTGCTGCTATTCTAATTGTCATCCCTTTGTAGTTTATCTCTCTTTCTTCTGTTCCCTTTAAAAACCTATTTGTTTTTAATGTTCTGCAAACATGTATGTCACAGATGGGGATTTACTTATATCTATCCAATACTAGTCTTATTGTCCTTTTTGAATCGATGACTGATGAATCCAATGTCTTTAGTAAATTTTGGAAAGTTAACAGTCATTTTCAAATATTGTCTCTTCCCTTTTATTGCTGTTTTTTCTGTTCTCTGATACTAGCAGTATTACGTGTACTATCTTTTTTGTACCACTAGTATCAGTATTATTTTATCCCCCTTTTCTTCTATACTCCCTTTTAAACTTTCCCTTTATCTCTCTTTGCTACAATGTCAGTTGCCTTCTCAAATCACTCATTCGTTTTCCTAATTCATTCTTCAGATGGTTCTGATCCCTTGTTAAGCATTTTCATTAGTATTTCTATGTCACTGAGTAACATGTTTTATTTCTAGAAGTTCTGTTTCCTCTCTCCACCCAAATCTTTTTCATAATGTCTCCATTTTTTTAAGGAAATCTTTTATATCTATCCTAAATTATGTAAGACATTTCCAGAACAATTTTACTTTGCTTCTGCCGGGCATCACTATCCAGAGACCATTTCTTGAGTATTTTTGTACATGTTTTAATTTGGAACCATGTGGTAGTGTAAAATCAAAGAATGTGGGGGTATAAATTCTCATTGGAGAACTTTTTCCGTCACCATAATCTGTTATAATTTTCCTTTTTAGTACACTGGCCATATATTTTCTAGCCCTCCTTTTCAGTGTCTTTGCAGCCGCTTGATGCTCTGAATTTTATGCAGTTTTCAGTTACATTTTCTTATGCCGCGGCAACTCCTTGGCTGAGTATGAAAATCCAAGGCTCTTTCTCATTGAAAACGCTGCATATCCCTACCCCACCACCAGGCGGCAGCATTAACATCAGCTCAAGTGCTTGTATTTGGATTGCAGTTTCTTCAAAATTTGGAATGAGGATATTTTGCTTTCCATAGCTCAGGTATATGATTAAAATAAATCAAATATATATTTCATTCACTTTACATATTTAAATTGAGATAAATATATCTTATGTAAGCCTGCTGTTTTTGTTTTTTATTGCTTGTTTTGTATTAGTTTTTCCCAGGGATTTTCCCTATTTAGGTGTTGTGCTCATGGGTGCTACACACATATGCACATCCAGCTCACTAGAAATTCATTTCGGATGAATACATGTGTCAGAAATTGACCTCAGAAAGGGGACACACACCTCCTGTTCCAGAGAGGCAGAAAGAGGCTTTTTACCTTCAACAATTGGCATGAATAACAAGGGTGTATTATGGTTACCTTCAGAACAGAGAATCAGTCAATCAGCCCACACATTTATTGAGTGTTCAACTTCAAATAAATCCCAACTTTAGAAACAGTGTTCATGAATTCCTAATACATCACTCTTCTTGTAATTTGTATATAAATTTATAGGCTAAAAGATTTTTTACAAATGATATTTTCTCATGAATATGGTCATTGTTTTTCCCTTAATGTGTCTGAACTTATATGGTGTTTATCAAAGAGATCACATTCACAGTAATATGTTTTTGATTTTTAAACTCTTATTTGTAAATGGAAAATCAGAAAATATTTAGCCTAAAGCACAGTCTTTTGGTGGTAAGTTGTATTATTTTATCTTAATCCAGAAAAATATAAAGCCCAGTATGCAGCATAGGTTATACTGAAAATATAAATAGCTTTTAGAATAACTGCTAACAAGCAAATTAGCTACAGAATGGAATGGCAGCAGATCAATAATGACAGTAAAACTACAGAGTTCTTGCTGATCTCATATTTTCTGTGAATGCAAACTGTAAAAGAGGTCCCCAAAGGCCTCCAACAATAACCTACAAAGAATGAGACACAAAGGGTATTGAGCATAAAGATAGTTCAATTTCCCAAGACGGCCAGCTCTTGTCACATCAAACCACCTATTAGTCACAAACTCATACAACTAAGAATTCTCTGGCCTCCTGAGATTGCCTGTCATCTTGAAGGAGATAATACCAATGAAAGGCACCAGCTTCTTCTGTAACATGTTTAGTTTAGTGTTTTCAATACATCAAGCTATTTATGATGTTGCTATCACATATAAATAAGGCTCTATATTTTTAGATTGGAAAATGACACTAAGGTACTGGTAAATGGAAAAGAAAAGGTAAACAAAATAAATGTGAAAATAATGTAACATGCCAAAGCCAAAAAGCATCCTTATATTATTTCATATATCTTTATATTATTTAGAATTACCTCCAAAAGGTATTAATCAAAAAATAAGATAAAATCTGTCAGAAATTTAAAAGTTTAGAATGTATAAAGTAACTAAAAAGTAGTCTAATCCTCTTGTTTAACAGCATAATACATGAGGTTCCTGTAGTCCCAGCTACTTGGGAGGCTGAGGCAGGAGAATCGCTTGAACTCAGGAGGCGGAGGTTGTGGTGAGCCAAGATCACGCCACTGCACTCCAGCCTGGGCGACAGAGCGAGACTCCATCTCAAAAAAAAAAAAAAAAAAAAGAGGCTCAATGAATTTCGGTAAGATAGATATGGATACATAGCAGGTTAATAGTAATAGAGGGATAGAACTCTCAAGTCAATGTTTGAATACCTTTTAGAACTATTTAATGTATACATAATACTAAAACATTTATAATAAATATTTCTGATAAATCATTACACATGTACAGGCGATATGATGCAATAGGTAAAGCAACAAACTTGTTTGTGAATCATCATCTTTCCAGAGAGTATTGAGTAGCTATGACGTGCCAGGTTGTGAACTAATGCTGGAGTTCTAAACATGATACCTTTCCTCAAGAATTACCTTAATGGGAGAATGCAAATAGGTGTTTCACCTTGGAAAATAATTGCTGAGTTTGGTAACGGCAGAATGAACAAGGTACTACGAGAGTGCAGAGGAGGGACGTGTAAATTGCACATTGAAAGGATTCTAGAAGGACTTCTTAGAGAAGAAAATGCTTGAGTTAAGATTGAAAAATTACAAGACAGAGCTAGGTGGAAAGTAAAGGGGCTAACAGTACTCTAACAAGAGACAACCGAAGTGAAAAGAGAGACACTGGAGAAGCTGGGTAGGGCATGGTGGCCGGAGAGGTTACAGAAGAAAAGGCCTCGTGCACTAGGCTTAGTATGTTCAGGATTTTTCTCTGTGATGTGAAAATAACTTAAGATATTTAGTGAAAAGATCACTGGGTAAGAAGCATGGAAAGTAGACTGAAGGACAGGGAAACTAGAAGCTGAGAGAAACTGTAAAAGGTTAATGAAAGAAGCCTGAGGCACTGGCAATGAGTAGGATGAAAAGAAAGGAATGGATTAAAAAGGAGATATGCAGAAAGTGCGGTCTAAGAACTTGGTTGCTAATGAGGTATGAGCAAGATGTCTACAATGCTACCCAGATTTCTTTCTTGGTGTCTCAATACGTAAGGAAATACAACTTTAAAGATGGTTTAACAGGGGAAACAAAGGGAAATTTAAAATTAATTATGGTTGTATTGCATTTGAGATGGCAATAGGACATCTAAGTGGAAATGTTTAGTAGCCAACGGCATACAGAATTTAGATACCAAAGATTTGGAAGTCCTCAGTGCATAGGAGGAGTCGAGGTAATATATCTAAGTTAAGAGAGCATACAAGGTTAACAAAGTGAAGGTTCAAGAAGGAATCTTTAGGGTATTCAAACTCTTAGGGGAAAGTAGAGAAAAGAGGACTCAGAATGGTGAAGTGACTAGAAAAGCAAGAGGAAGATAAAAAAAAAGATTCGTATTTTAGAAGCCAAAGCAGACGAGAATTTTTCAAAGGAGGAAGCAGTCACTGACCTCAATGCTGTAGAAAGGTCAAGTAAGAGAATATAAAAATATTCAATAAATTATTTTAATTAGAAAGCCATTGACTTAGGAAGAATTTTAGTATAGTCTTTAGATGAAGATGATTAAATTAAGGAATAAATAGGAAATGAAGAATTGGAGATAACATGTATAGATTTCATTTCCAGGAGGCTTATGTGTGAGTTAGTATTCTAATAATAATTATAATACAGTTAAGCCTTTTGAGTGCTTACCATGTGCCAGGCTCTGGACTAAGTGCTCTGTAGTAACTAAGCCATTGAATCATTACAAATCTATATAATAAATATTATCATCACTTTACAATGATAAAACTGATAAAGTAATAAAGGCCTTTAAAGATTAAGTAATTTGTCTGAAATCCCACAGTTAATAAGTCAGATGTTCTCATCTACTATTCTGATGCCCACAAACAGACAGAGAAATTTAGAGCTAGAAGTAGAGAGAAATAACAGATTGAGGCAAGACATTTTTCTTTAATACGTGAGAGAAGAGACTGATCACCATTATATTAATGAAAAGGACCAGGGCCAATAGAAAAGGTTAAAAATAGGAGAGGATTTTGAGGGAAGATTAGTGGTTACAGGGTCTATTATATGGGTGGAGAGGCTACCTTTATACTGTACAAGAAATCAAATTTCATTTTCTGTGGCAGAAGGACTAAAAGAGATATGCAATTATAATTAATTAACAACTTAAAACTTCCATTTTCTTTAAAAAGGTGGGGGTTGGCAATAATTGCTCTACAAATTTTATTTTGATTTAATGAGTAAAAATAAGAAACATTGAAGCCTTTACTTTTAAATTTTTAATTTGTGTAGATACATAGTAGGTGTCTATATTTATGGGTTACATGAGATATTTTGATACAGGCATGCAATGCATAATAGTCACATCAGGGTAAACATGGTATCTATCACCTCAAGCATTTATCCTTTGTGTTTCAAACAATCCAATTATATTATTTTACTTATTTTTAAGTGAACAATTAAATTATTATTTATTATAGTCACTCCATTGTGCTAGCAATTACTAGGTGTTACTTATTCTTTCTAACTGTCTTTTGTACCCATTAACCATCTCCCTTTCCCCCCACCCTCCCTGACTACCCTTCCTGGCCTCTGGTAACCATCCTTCTACTCTCTAGCTCCATGATTATTTTAATTTTTCCTCCCACAAATAAGTGAAAATATGTGATGTTTGTATTTCTGTGCCTGGCTTATTTCACTTCACATAATGACCTACAATTCCATCCACGTTGTTGGAAATGACAGGTTCTCATTCTTTTCCATGGCTGACTACTACTTCACTGTGTGTAAGTACCACATTTTCTTTATCCATTCGTCTGCTGATGGACAGTGAGGTTGCTTCCTTCTGAGCTATTGTGAACAGTGCTGCAATAAACATGGGAGTGCAGATATCTCTTCTATATACTGATTTCCTTTTTTGGGGGTATATACTTGGAGTGGAATTGCTGGATAATATGGTAGCTTTATTTTTAGTTTTTTTAGGAACCTTCAAACTCTTCTCCATAGTAGCTGTACTAATCTATATTCCCATCAACAGTGTATGAGGGCTCCCTTTTCTCCACATCTTCGTCAGCATTTGTTAATGTCTATCCTTTGGAAAACAAAACAAAACATTTTAACTAGGTAAGTTGATATCTCATGGTAGTTTCGATTTCCATTTCTCTGATGATCAATGATGTTGAGTAACTTTTCATAGATCTGTTTGTCATTTGTATGTCTTCTTTTGAGAAATGTCTATGCAGACCTTTTGCCCATTTTTTAATCAGTTTATTAGGTTTTATCCTATTGAGTTGTTTGAGTGCCATATATATTCTGGCTTTTAATCCCTTTTCAGATGGATAGCTTACAAATAGTTTCTCCCATTCTGTGGGTTGTCTCTTCACTTTGTTGATTGTTTTGTTTTCTTAGCTGTGCAGAAGCTTTTTAACTTGATGCGATCCCATTTGTTCAATTTTGCTTTGGTTGCCTGTGTTTGTGGAGTATTACTCAAGAAATCATTGCCCAGACCCATGTCCTGGATAGTTTCCCCAATGTTTTCTTCTAGTAGTTTCACAGTTTGAGGTGTTAGTTTTAAGTGTTTAATCCATTATTGATTTGATTCTTTTTTAAGGTGAGACATGGTCAAGTTTCATTCTTCTGCATATTGATACTCAGTTTTCCCAGCACCGTTTATTGCATTCAATCCTTTAAACTGAACTGTGCAATTCAAATAGCGGTTTTTAGCAGCAGACAGTAAGCACATATATGCATATTAGAATAATGCTAAGTATTCCTAAATAGAAGTGCATCATTAATAAACTTGACCTATCCTCTACAGTTATGGTTTCTGGGTAACCTGTTTACAATTGTTCAGAACGTTTTCCTACTCTTTTTTTGGGACTCATTACCCCTAGCAGGTATTCCAGATTGTCTTCTATCTCTCCATAATACTCTAGAACATTTCCACATCACCCCCTGGATTTGTACATCCTTAACTCTTTCATCTTTTGGCAAACAGAAAATACTTTTTGATCCTTCCTTAGCAGAAGAGTTTGTGCCTCATTTTAAAAAATACCTCTTCCACCTGTATCTTAGACTACATTCCCAAGAACTTGGAATAAACAGCTAGCAAACAAGACTGAGTAGTGGTCCTGCTTCTATTGCTTATTTAAGCACATGACTTGAGACAATACCTTCACCCAAATGAGTTTAAATGTCCTAATTTGTGAAATGAGAATGACACTAATAACGAGATTGTTTGACGGTTAAGTTAGGTATTGTATGTGGAAATATGTGAACTGTAAAGAGTCTGTCATTTTTCGGTTTGCCTTCAAACAGGTATTTTTTCTTCAGTATTTAAAAAAACTTCTGTGGGGACATAGTAGGTGTATATATTTATGAGGTACATGAGATATTTCGATACAGGCAAATAATGCATAATAGTCACGTCAGGGTTAATGGGGGTATCCATCACTCAAGCAAGTATCCTTTCATTGTATTTAAATAATCCAATTATACTTCTAGTTATTTTTTATATGTATAATAAATTATTGTTGGCTGCAATCTCCCTGTTGTGTTCTCAAATACTACATCTTATTCATTCTATCCAGCTATAATTTTGTACCATTAACCATCCCCATTTCCCCTACCACCACCCTTCCAGCCTCCGGTAACCATCATTCAGTTTTCACTAACTTATTCTCTACCTATTTTAAAAAAACAAAAACAAAAATGGAAAGCTACCACATTTTAAATTCTTTCTTATTTCCTTCTTTGACATACAGTCTTTTCCTAGAGTGAAATGCCTACATAGCCAATCTTCATTTGTATGCCATTTTCACATCCACCACTCTACCAAAATTAAATCTATACACATAAGAGGGGTTTGTGGGATTAAGAAGTGAATAAAGAATATGTGTTTACGAGTTCATTTTATAAACACTTCAGTAAACTATATCTTGATTATAAAATCAATAAGCTAAGCCACACATTTGGTTTATACAAATGAAAACACGAAATGGCTTATTATATCAATATCAGTAAATTTAGATGTCAGCAATGGCAGAACAAAGATCATCACCGTAATGCTCCAGCATTTTACACTTTACTAGTTACATTGATTTGGTTCAGAATACAGGTTAGTGCTAGATCTGGAAGAGACATAAGGACATACTGCAATGAGAAATCAGGAAAAGGAAAAGTGACATTTGTTATTCTACCTTTCATTAACTAATTTTCATTACTGTTTTATTATTATTATCACTCATTAAAATGGATTTCATTTGTACTCTTCCTTTTAATCAACACATTGCTCATTAAAAACCATTTATTCTTTAGAATGTGGTGCAATAATGACATTAGCTTTCAGTAAAACATAATAAGGCTGACTATTTGCCAGAATCCCAATTGAGGGCAATGTTTAGTAATTTTCCTGATTTTGGTGTACCGCTAGTTTTCATTTTTCCTTTACCCACCAAAGGGAGAAAGTGGAGCAAGCATTTCAAGAACATTACAGGAATTTTTGTGGCATTCATGGTCCATATTTCTCCTGATCCACCCAGAACTACTTTTCTAGCACACATCCCTATAAGACCTTTTTATTATTCCTGGATCAGGTAACATACACATTGGCATGGGCTGTGATTTCTGAAGAGCCAGAAATTATCCTCCCAGACCAATAACTCTTCCACCAATTTATTTGCCAAAATAAGTTAACAACATATGAGTTATCCTCATGAGAGAATAATCACATGCAATTTGATTGATTTATTGATTTTATCATTCACCCATTCAGTATTGAGTTCCCATCTGGAGCTTATACAATTTGAGTAGACAGGGGAAGCACTCTGGAAAAATTAAATAACAACTCACAGCAATGTGTACTTTAGAGAATAAAAGAGAACTCTCTATAATATGGGTATGGTCTGGAAAATATGGTCACAGTAGATAAAAGAAGTGAAAAAAGGGGAACTCCAAAGCACTCTAGATCAATCTGGGGAAATATTGTGAAGGAAGCAGGACTTGCATAGGATCTTCATGCACAGGATCTTGAATAGGTTATGAGCATGAGAAAGATGCTCTGAATTAGTAAACAACGTAGACATGCACAGAGCTTGGGATGAATTGAGTTGTGAACAGTGCAGCAATTGACAGATTCACATTCTGGAATAATGAGAGATGATGCTAAATGTATAGACAGTTTTTTAAAAACATATCCCAAAGAATTTAGTAAGATATAGACAATGGAATAGAGGCTTTTTAGTTGATTAATGAAAGTTAAAGCAGATTTAATGCCTGTTTATTTTGGAATTAAGAGAAAGAACATCAAAGTTCATCTGATAAGAATAAAACTTCAGATCCAGATGTTATAAAACTTCCTTTAAAATATCATTCCTTATAGCCTCTATATTGATAAAAGTTCCTAGTTTTATGTTGTGCATACAGTTTTATTTTCTTGTTATAAAAGGAAGTAATTATTTATTGAATACCTTTTATACAGCAGGGCTTCTGCACACATATCTCATTTGTTCCAGTGACAACAGGTGGAAGGTAAGCTTCATAAAGTTGAAAGTTAGCCTGTCTTGCTCACTGCTTCCTTCCCATTACCCACAATTGTGCTTGGCATATGGCAATTATCCAATAAGTACATGTTGGAGGTAGGGCTAATATTGGAGCAAATATTATCATTATTTTATAGATTAAAAAGCTGAAACCTTTACAGGATGTAAATGCATGCCTACTTGACTCGAAAATGTTCCCTCTTTATTTGGGATGGTAAATGACTGACAAAAGTATAATTAAAATTATGAAATTACAGTTTCTGTCTCCTCCAGCAATCTAGGCCTTCCATAGCTCTGGGCACAGAGAGACACAATTCAGGATAACTTTTGCATCTTTATGTGGGAAAGAAAAAATAATTTCTCTTTCTTGTCATAGCCGTATCTTTTCCAAAAAGGAGCATGACATAGGAAAAAGCACCCGGGAGGATTCATGTGTTTTGAGACTGTCAAATGCGATTGAGTTCCTCTCCCTCATTCTTTGCTGCGGTCTGGCCAGGCCCTGGGTCAGCGACTGCATTTGTGAACAGCTTAGACTTATAGACCAAAGAGAATGAATAGAATGTTCCTGCCACTCCTTTTTTTAGAGTTATAATATTGCCACAATTCAGAGTTCAGATAGCATGTGTTTTACGTTAGCCATTAGAAGTGTGTTTTTAGAGCAACCAATAGCTATTCCTTCAGTAGTAAAAGAATAAATCACAATATCTTGTTTATGTGATTTGCTAATATTTGCTTATATATTTTACAGTTCAAATAAACTCATACTCAATACAAAAACTTAAAAAATAAATTCAACAGTTGGTTATGGCATATAAGAAACTTTTGATAATGTAACCATTTTTTAAAGTAGGGAGAGAGACACAGAGACAGAATCAGAAAGAGACAGAGAGAGACCGCAGATGTAAAGGTGGCCACTTTTCTGGAGAGACTGAGATTGCGTAAAGAAAATGCAAATTCTTCCGTTTGACCCACCACTGACTTGGTGAAGTCTTCAGTGGCTTGGCCAGCCTCAGAGTGTATTTAATGTGGCTCTTTCAATCCTTCAAAGTGTTTACATAGCCAAATCCACTGGGCTCTTTTTCCAAACCATATTTTTTAAAGGTCTATTTCAACTAGCAGTTTGGTATCACTATCACCTCAGCTGAGATTCATCACCAATGATGCTAACAATATCATAGTGAATGTAAGAAATTAACTGCTAAAGCAGAATATTAAAATTACCATTTTTGTTTGGCCAGTAGAGGAATTATTTTCACACTAATCATAATTTAGTAATTTTTCACTTAATGTCTACTTTTTTTCTGCCCTATGATTGCATGAGGTAAGATCTCTGATATCTTTCTTGCCAATAAACTCTGCTTCTGTATAGTGTCTGGAAAATAATTGGTAGGTGCTTAATAATTATGTGTTGGTTGAATAAATGAATGATTATCGAGTGCATACTATGTTTTTAGTATAAACATACTCACGCCTGTAATCCCAGCACTTTGGGAGGCCGAGGCCGGGGGATCACGAGGTCAGGAGATCGAGACCATCCTGGCTAACACGGTGAAACCCCGTCTCTACTAAAAATACAATAATAAATTAGCCGGGCATGGTGGCGGGCGCCTGCAGTCCCAGCTACTCGGGAGGCTGAGGCAGGAGAATGGTGTGAACCCGGGAGGCGGAGCTTGCAGTGAGCCGAGATCGCGCCACTGGACTCCAGCCTGGGGGACAGAGCGAGACTCCGTCTCAAAACACACAAACAAACAAACAAACAAAATAGAGTATGAACTCTACTGGGGGTCCATACAAAACAACATCAAATATAATGAGTTCACACTAAAATCCTGTAAATGTTTAGATGAGCACAACAACTTATTTAAAAAGTAGCATAGCTTTCCTTGGTGGTTTATTTGTGCCTTCAGTTAAGAAAACTTTAGAATTCTTCTGTTTGTGAAATATTATACATATCAACTAACTCATATAACCATCTGTGTCATCTCTGTTAAATACGAATCTGACACTCAGATTTGTCCCTTGGTTAGCTTAGTTTTGAGAGTTTCAAGATAAAGCAATTCAATTTCCCTTCAGATCTTAATGAGCAGTAGCCATAAATTATAAGCTTCTTGAAGGAAGAGATTTCAAGTTTCTAAAAGTAACCACTATGATACTTGTTCCTTGGTTTACACATAGGAGCCTTAATAAGAGAAATGTCAATGTGAAGAGAGTTTATGGCACATGGAGTCTGTGCTAATATCAAAGTGTATTATTGAATTGGCATCTCCCAACACTAAAATGATCTGCATATTTTTGTGATGCCAATATTCTTTCATAACTGAAGTGAGGGGATGATGCATATTCCAACAGATACTGAGGAGAAAACAAGGGCTATAGTTAGATACTTTCTGAAGTACAAACCTGTGGTTTCTTTTCCTGTCCCTGCTGCATAGGAGATGAATTCAGAAAGAGAGAAGCAACAACAAGCAAAATTGGTGAGGGTGCCAATAGATTCTAGAGAAAGAAGTAAACAGAGAAAGGTGTTCCAAAAAGGAAGGTAACCGGAAGAGAAACTGACATTAAAAGAGCAATCAATACAGAAAAAACAAAAACAAACACAGAAAAAACTTATGCCTGTTCTCTTGTCCCACTAAATGTTCCCATTTCTAGTTCCTTGACTGAATTATTTCCTTAAACTTGTCCCACATTAACAATCTTCCTCTTCAGTGGGAATCAAGGGATCAATTTTAAACCCCTGCTAGGGGGTCTTTCTCTGCTACAATACTCTAAAATCAGCAGAAATATTAACTATTTCCTCCTCAAATTTATTTATTTATTTGGCAAATAAAGAATCAGCTGCCTACTATGTGCCAGCCGCTGTTCTAGGTGCTGATATAGTAATAAACTAAACAAAAAGCCCCAGTGAGCCTGGTAACTGTGATCTTTGACAGCAAGAGTTAGGTGCTAAGTGAGCACTTTGTGTAGATCAGCTTACTTAATCTTTCAACTATTTGGGGTAGCTACTGACATTATTCACATTTGCAGATGAGGAAACTGAGGAAGTGATAACTAAAGCAATTTTCAAAGGTTACATACTTGTAAATGTCAGAGTCAGGACCCAAACCCAGTCTGCCTCGAGTACTTGCTTTTAACAGTACTCTATATTCCTCCTAACATATTTGAGGATGAGTGCAAAAGTATATCTTCCACTCTGCCTAAACTCAGGGCATCTGACCCTTCATTTAGAGATCTATAGCTCCTGAAGCTAACACACACCTTTCTTCTTTAAGAAAGATGTCTGAAATGAAATGTAGTATAAAAGGCCAATTCCAAAAAAAAAAAAAAAATATGCCAATTCCCTTACCAAAAATTCTCTTTAGGAAATCACTGATACCTGCCCAGGCATTTACAGAAGAAAGCAGGAATTCTTACCTTAAATGAAGACATGGAGAACATGCTTCAAGAACATCATGGTTATTAATGATTAGGAAAAGCTGAATGCCAAAAATGTTTTACAGATACGTGGCAGCTAATTTGAAGCAGTACTAGACATGGAGGAAAATAAAAATACATTCTATTTTCAACATAAACTGGCAATCTGTTATAACAACTGAGCAATGGATAAAATATCATGATCTGTTAATAATATGCTTCAGGTATACAAACATCAATTCCATCTAAGATACTGATATTGCTATATTAATATAGAACTTTAAACATTCTCTTAAGATCTAGGAATAAATATTTAACTTGATTTTGGTAATTCATTGAGTTTTGTGGGATGTAATAAGCCTCTTACGTTTCTTTTTCCCTCCCGCAATCTCTACCATCAGAGTGACCACTGCTTCAGTCCTTGTTGTCTATGTCTCCAGCACAGGTTTTTCCACATGTATACCCTGCCTCTGAGGCAAACATTTTCTTTCTGGATCCCACAGCTCATCCAATCCCTTCTGAGGTATTTCCCTGAAGTTTAAGTTCCATCATCAACAGCCTCCTCCCAACCAGTTTTCCCCATCTCTATCAGCAGATAAAGTCCAATGTCCTTTCAAAGGATCATCAGCAACAAAGTTTTAGCCCACGAGAAATACCATTAAGGCATTTGAAATGGACCCATTAAAATACCCAACTATTAAAATAAGAACAAGTTGGGTTACATCAAACAGAAGGCAACTCAAATGCCCTAGAACTCATGTTTTAGGGAGGAAAGGGGAAAGCGAGGTTTACTCCAAACGTGACTTACAAATAAAAGAATTATATACATGCCGCAAAGTATTCCTTGAAAAGTGTATGTGTTCCCTTTGAATTTTTAACTAGCTACGAGTTCCTCTTTCCATGCAAACCAGTCATCAGTAAAACAAAAGTAACAGTATTCAAACTGGCCTCTGTGTGGATAGCGCTTTAGTCTAGTTTACAGGCTTGGACCCAAGGGACATTATCTCAGATGCCTCTAGAATGAAATGGAATTAGCAATTACACAGATCTTCTCCACTAGAATTGCATTAAAAATAATTTAACATACTTGTTACGTATACTTTAATCATATTATCCCATAAGTAACCAGCCACTGATCTCAAAGGTCAGTATATAATTACAATGAATGTACAAGAGGGAATACAGTCCTAGACATTGGAATGTAATGTTGCCTCTATAATTCTCCCTTCCTTTCTTTATTTCCTATACAGTTTATGTGAAAAAGTTAACTTCTTACCTCTCCTTGTAGAAATTGTGAATGAGCAGTCTTGGAGAAGAGGCATGACAGATCCAGTGCATTAGTCAAAATATAATGATAATGTATTATTTTTATATAGGAAGGTAATATTATCATTAAAATATCTTTGTTGCTATTGTTTCAAATCTAGTATGCATTTCCAGGATAGCTGCTCAGAGCCATCCATTATACCATGGAAATCTCAATTAGCCATGTGTATATTTAACTGATAACCTTTGCCACAGATGCAAAAGCAAATGTGTGGTTTTTCAACCATCTTATTATATGTTTTCATCACAAACTGTACTTCATCTTACAGATTTTCTCAGTCAGACTTTCTGCTTCTTGAGCACAGAATGGGAAAATGTCCTCTCTGTTTTCCATTTAGAAATCTACTATAGAAACTTATACCAAATAAGCCAAAAAATGATGTAGCCACCCTGGACTGTTCTCTGGTGCCAAAGTAATCAGTCCTACGTGTTCCTTCATAGTATGTAAAAAACCCTATTATTGCACACAGAAAACCAGACATGAGTGGTAGAAAGTATAGCCGAATCTAGTCCCTGGCTCTATCTGGCCCTGTACTTGTATACCACCCAGCAAACCCAGCAGCACAAGGTTTACTACACAGAAAAAGGGTGATGGTACAGAGGGAGGGTCTAATGCCACCACCTTCTATGTAAACCTACTTTGAACACCAAAGGAAGAAATGTCAATGGCTCTCAAAACAACAAAATAAAAAGTACTGTCAAGAATCTTGCTCTAAAAATGGAAGCAGTGATATGCCTAGCTTTCAAAGCTTAGTACGAAGAAAGTGAAAGAAAAACTATCACTTCCTGAAAGGGTTTTATGGCCAAGAATTCTAGGAATTCCCGCTTTGGTAATCTGATAAGCAATCAGTTACCTAACATGTATTATCTTTGCATGCTGATAGTTCTACAATGCTTCCCAATACTGTACTCATAAATGTCTAGTCTTTTAGTTCCCAAAGTTGTGACTTTTTTTCAAATCAAATGTGTCTCCAGTTTTATATTCCTTAAAAACATGTTTTCTCTATTCAAAGACATAGGTAGATAATGCACGATGAACAGACAGAGAAACAGAGCATTAAATAAAAACCAGACAGACAAAAACCCAGATGTTAGATTAGGAATGATCACAAAAGATGTTAAGGACCTTAAGCAGAAACATTTTTTAAAGTTGACCTTTTTCAAAAACAACATCCCAACTAATCAGAAATTTATATTATTATATAATTATTCCAGAATACACTGCCTTAATGAAAGAGTAGACGACGGTAGTAAACTGGCCTTCACCCAAATCAGTATCATATTTGAATTAGTTGTTTGTGTGCCTTTCACATACATTATATGTATGTGTAGTGGGTTTTTATCATACTTTATAATATAGAGAAATAGCCTATGCAGTTGTCTAGTTTCTATTTCAAACTTGGGATTTTTTGTGTGGTTTTTTTTTTTTTTTTTGGCCTTTTGAATATCTGGCAGCTTTTTGCTCTATGAGGTCTCTATTTTAAGCTGTCCTATTTCAGTGTGAGTCATCTCAATGGTTTTAGCTGTCATAAATCATTGTTTGCCAAAGTTGCCTGTTACCACAACCAAAACATTATCAAAGAGCTATCATTCCCACCAATGAACCTTAATGTTTGCAAAGGTAATATACTGAGTGGCTGTTATGACAGCATGACATGAACCTCATGTTTAGGTTTTATAAATTAGCAAAACATCAGTTGATGTGATCATTCTCTCAATTTTCTCAGCATTTTTATCTACCCTTTCCTTCTCTCTCATCATAGAGAACCCGTGTGCATGCCCAAATTCTTAATTTATATGCATGATAAAATACCCACTTATTTCAGGCTTTTATACTAGGTCTCTTCCTCCAATCATAGACATAGTCAAGCTTCCATTATATATCTTGCCAGAACTATTACAATAACCTCCAACTTGGTTTTTCTGCTTCCAGTCTTGCTCTGTACACTACAGTTTTAACACAAAAATCACAACGATCTTTTTAAACTATGAACCAGATTATTAGCTACTCTGCCGCAAATCCTCTATATAATCTTCCCCGATTTTCTCACATCCTCCAGGCTAGGTCAGGAGCCACTACTTTGTGCTTTTATAATACTCATGTGTGCCTCTGTTACACTATGCTGCAATAAGTTTACTTGTCCCTCTTCTCCACTGAACTCTCTGAATTTAATTTACAGTACATTGTCTATTTTCATATCCACAATCTCTAACAATAGGTGCATAGATATTTCCTGATTAATCACATGAATACGTATATTCTGAAACTGTAAAGCTCACATTTTTCCCTTATCAACACCTAGTGAGTGTTATTTCTTCTCTCTTCACATTATCCACTCCACATTTAGCCTTTCATTTCTTTCACATTTAATGACACCATAGCAAACATAATCAATCTCCAAAAACAGACAAATATTGTCCAAGGGAAAAAAACGGGCTTAAAAGCAGACCTGTATTAGGTTCTTCAGGGTTTGTATGTCACGTGATTTTGGTCAAGTCATTCACTTTCTTAGTTTTGCCTCCTAAACTAGATCTATGAACTTAAGACAGTCCAAAGGAAAATATTTGAGAAATTGCTTTGTAAAGTGTCAACTTCTACCCAAATAATAACATATGTGAGACTTACATATAACAGTAACAACACTGTTCTAACAGTATCAACTATTTTACCTTATTCAATCCTCTCAACAATTTTAGGAGTTGATTTTTATTAATATCCTCACTTCACAGATGAGCAAATAGAGGCACAGAGATATTATACAAGGGGTATAAGAAAACATAACATGTAAGTGACAGAGTCGGGGTTTGATCCCAGGCAATCTGGCTCCAGTGTTTGAGTTCTCCACCTATCTATTTTAAACCAGTGTAAGGTGATGGCATCCTCTCTAACACGGTCTCCTAAAGGGCCTTTCCTTTGCCTCTGTGGCAGTGTTTCTGATTAAAAGCTCTGTCATTCTTTTTTGATACTTTATATAAGGTAAGCTTGGAAAGTGAGATGAAACAAACAGAGAGAAAATCTAAAACAAACAAACAAAAAGTTTGAGAAAAAGAAAGCCATATGCACATCATGACATGATCATAACCTACTCACTAGCTAGTAAGCATATGATCATTGAAAAACATTTTGAGGCAGGGCAAGGCAGGTTGAGATTCTAAATATACAGCTTCCTTTTTTCTCACTTTCAAATTCTCTGGTCTCCTTTTTCCCCACATCAAGTCTCCCCAGCTTCTTTCTCTTTGCAATTCACAGAGACATTGGATCCAAAGGTGAAGGATGAGGCTGGGGATAGTCGACCTCTGACAACAGGGCCTGGGCCAGCATGTGGCCCAAAGTGCCAGCGCCCTGGGAGGTGGGGCCCACTGAAACTGCGGGTGCTGATTTAGAGGCATGCCAAGAAAAGACGAATCAGAGAGCAGCTCATCACTGAGAGAAAGTCTTCTCAAAACTTGGAAATAGTAGTGTGCAGTGTCTTTTCTGCACTCTTCCCAAGAACGAATGCAGAGCAACACTGAGATCACTGGTTTCACTGACATAAGAGCACACTTGTGAAAGGTGGAATGAGGAGACCTCCTAATTAGGCAACTTCTCAGATGTCAATGAAAAAATCTGTGTTTGCCCAGATTTTTCCTCTTCAGTGATAAGGAGATATTTAGGTATTAGTTTTTATTTCTACATTTTAGAACCTCATAAACTCAAAAAACAGCCATAACATCAGAAAGGAATTCTGTATAATCACTTAGATTAAAATATTAATTTTTGGAGTAGCTTCAGTATGACAAACTAAAGGAAAAATAAATTCAATATATTTTAGTAAATGTAATACAATGCTTGATTATTTGAATCAAGAAATTTTAAATAGTACGGGAAGGGGGAGAAGAGAATTAATGATGCAAGCCTCAAAATAGTATGCTGTAGTTTTTACCAGACAACTTTATTCTCACTTTAAGAAGAGTAGTAGCTAAGGTCTCATGGTCATTTTCAAGGACTACATCAAGAAACACAACGAAAATGGCTCATTGGATTTATTGTACTTGCTCTGTTGTGTGAGCGTAAATACAGGTCTTAAAAGCTCTTGGAAGAAAGGGGAAATGAGAATGCAAAAGGAAGAAAGATTATTACTTCAATTTTAAGTTTGAAGCCAAATTTAATTTGAAAAATAAAATTTCCATTTTCTAACTCTAATTTCTCAGTACAAAACAAAAATAATGATAGTTAAATACACTTAAATACAAGTTATTAGACTAGCTTCTTAGTAGCAAATATTATTTTATAATAAGAATTTTGATAAATGTTTAGGATATATTCATTTTAAATAAATCTTGGTATTAAAATGTGGGGGAGAGTAATTAATTGGCAAGAATGTATTTCACTCTTTGAACCCAAAGTACTTGGGAGGAAAAAAAGAACAGGGATTTCCCAGTGTTATCTCTTCCTTAAGACAGTCTTTAAAATATATTCTCTCTGCTGTGCTTTACTTCTAGGACACGACTCTACTTAATGCAAAACAACTCTTCTAAATAAATTTTATTTTGCAGTAGTTTGCGTGAGAAGCAACTATAGTTTTCTCTCCAATATTATATGGTGAAAGGTTTGGCTATAGTCATATAAAAATGGTTAGAAATTCTAAAGCAGACTGTTTAAAATAAATTGAGAGAAGCAACGATAAGATAAAATAGTGCCAAAAGCTTGTTATAGTGAACAAAATCCTGAACGTTTGAAGATAATAAAAAATGTTCCAAGAACAGTATTATTATATATCTCAATATTACGGTATTCTCAAATAAAAATAAAGTGTATTAATATGATTATGAACTGTTTCTACATCCAAGACCCAAATCAACATCGACAACTGAACATGATCGGTATCAGTTTGAGTTTTGTCACAGTTAACAAGCCAAATTGATGCAGATCAAAACACCTTTTTCATGTCGGAAATAGGGCTTGGTTGTCAGAAAAGCGTAGTGATGAGTGACCGTGGGGAGACATCCCAGCAATAATCAATCGTCAATCAGTCATGGAAAGTGCTTATTCTGCTCTTATACGAGCCTCTTCATTATTTGCTGTGCACACTGATCTCAGGAGAGAGAAGATAAAGGTACCTTCCAATGAATAAAGCAATAGTTTCTACACAGAGAGAAATGGAGAGAAAAGCAACTTAGATTGGGTTTAGAAATCACTTTTGTTTTCTAATTGTTTTTGTTTTTGCTGTTTGCATTTTTAAAAGATCGCTTTTTAAGAGGTGGCCATAGAAATAACTAAAATGGTACTAAACTTTGCTTTCTTCGAAACTGGTAATTCAACATTTCTTTAAATAAATGTCGTAAGTCAGAGATCTAAATCTGAATGGTTGAAACTGATTAATTTAAGTGAATATGTTTCTTTAAATATAAATACAAGGATATTTATGTGTTCGGATATATGGTGAAGGGAGTCATGGTACATGGCAGTCTTATTTTAAGAATATTAAAAGGTTAATCATAATATTAGTTTCAGGTAAAGGTTACATAGTTAAATTACACGTGTGTTTTTCATAAATGTAAATGCAAAAGCAGAACACTTCAGTGGCTTGCATTTGCAGATGGTTTATTTGGGGGGGATATTAAAATTCTGCCCTCTTGTGATTGGTGCATGATAACACTGAATCCCACCAGGAGGCCAAAAAAAAAAAAAAAGGCATTTCTTCTCTTCCGCCTGTTTATTTTGAATGCATTCTCATTTCTTTAAGTGAATCCACAACCACGCTGGGACCTACCCTGCACCGCTAAGCACAGCTGAATGCTTATGGTAGGAAAGCTGGTAAGGGAAATAATATTGAATGTATTTTCCTAGTGGAAAACAGGTTTGCCAAAATAGTTTGAGTTTATGAAAGAGAAGAACAGCTGTATTTGGTTTATAATAAATCTTTCACAAATCAGTAAAAGCAAATAGACAGCACAACTGCAGCCCATAAAAGTGGAAAATATTAAACAGGCAGTGAAGTTGTTAAACTTTCCCACAGATACTGCAGGTTTAAAAAAAAAAGTCTAGAAAATCCACACATGCAACTCACATGAAAAAGTGGACCAAATCACATCAGAAGAGGAGAAGGAATTATTGCCGATTAGAGGAAAAATCCTGTTAAGGTGACTTTTCTGGGCATCAAGATGAAGGTGTCTACAGCAGTTTCCTTCTCCTATTACTGAATGTTAGTGCAGAATAATTACTTGCTTGCCAAAAATGACAGGACATTGACCCTGCAGACTTATTGAATTCTCATTGCCTGCCTCCAGGCCATGTCGGGGGTTATTCAATTTTGCCTGAGGAGGACAATCTATTATGAGAGATGAGTCAAGAAGGCATCCTCCTTGATTGCCCACCAAAACCATTATCGCAGCACAGAGAGGGCATCGGCAGGGAGTGGACAGACAAGAAAACACTGATCTCGATTACCCAGGGACAAGATACAATTTACATTACTTGAAGCCACAGGACAGAGGGCAATCAGCCCTGGGAATAGGGCGGCAGCCCTAGAGTGAATAGGTATTAACAGCAGAGCAGCATCTGAGCTACTTGCTTATGCTAGACATAACCTTTAGCCTTACAAGGTAGTAACTGATTGGTTTGATCTGTAATTATGTAAATAATTTTACATTGATAAACAGAACTGTTCTCAAAACCTAGAAGCAAAAGCATCCAGGATCCTAAAATATAAAAATCTGTTATGTTTTCATATTTTAAAATGAAATGATATAAAGTATATTTACTTTATCATATCTGTCATAGATTTTCTGTTCTAAAGCAATTTCATAGCAATAGCAGTTATTTTGACCCAGAGAACCTGTTGCAATAAAAATTGTCTCCCAGTAGAAAAAAACAATGGCTTCAATCCTACAACTGCCTCACCTTTAAAAAGAAATTCTGGATAATGAATGAACATATCCTTTACACATAAGGCCCCAGTGTACCAAGGGTGATGTTGTAAAATTTTGATTTGAAACTCTGCTCAATAAGCCAATTTTATGGGGCTAATGATAACACATAAGGAAATAAGTAATGCTTCTCTTTAAACTTGATTGTTAGCCAAACCTTACTGGATTTCAATATCCTGTTAAACTATTCTACTAAATTGGAAAATCGCACACTATTTTTATTTCTGTCAATGAAAAATGCTTTACTGCATGTTTTAAAAGTGATTTAATTGAGAAAAAGAAATGGTTACATTTTTCTCTGAATTATAAGGGTCAGGGACTATTGAGGGATTTCTAAATACCATGATACGTTCAATTTAACATATTGGAATAATATTATGCTCAAAAGACCTAGTAACGGGTAGATTTTTGCAATCTTGGGAGTCCCTGTCAGCATGAGATATAATTCCAGTAGAGACAATGTTTCACATTTTCTAGATAATTATATAAGAATCCATGGGAAACTGCTTCAAATATGAGAAATAACCCATGCTATTTCAGAATTCTCCTGCTATGCTATTAGTATATCTGCAGAAGCTGAAAAGCAAATAACCTCTCATTCCCCCATGAACGCTGATTAATTAGGGCATGAAACCAGGGTGATTTGTGAAAGAGCTTTGCAAAACAAAAGCTTTGTGTGATTTTATGCTTGAAGCCTATTCTGAATCAAGCTAGCAACTAAGAAAATTATATTAAACCACTGACTTAAGAATTAGATTATGTGTCAGGAAAGGTACAAAAGTAACTGTCAGACCCTCTTTTCAAGTTATAATTTATTAAATAATCAAAACGTTTTGCTTGGGCTCAACTGCCACGTATACACAGATTGATATGCCCTCATTTCATATCCAAGGCACCCAGGTCACTCCATTCAAGTGGAAAATAAAATTGATATTGAGTAAAACAAAGAAAAAGCTACTACTGAGTTTGGCACATAGTAGGTGCTGAAAAAAAATAACTGATTTATTGCAGAAAACATATTTTCGGTAAAAATATTCATAGGGTTAAAGATCACAGAATGTTTGAATGTGTAGGTGCCTTTAAAATGAACTATTTTGGCCCTGCATTTTGTAGTTGAGGAGATGAAGCCCCTAGTGTTACACTTACAGGGGAGGTTCAGCTCAGGGGTCTAGAGCAAGTCCCCACAGTCAGACTCTCTGAGCTCAAATCATACTGTGTAGACTAGTGCAAAGTACTTAACCTCTCTGTACTTCAGTTTCCTCAGACATCAAATAGGGATAATAATAGTGTTTACCTCATAGGGTTGTGGAAAGGATTCACTGGAAAAATATATTCATAGGCATTTATAAGGTACCCGGTACAAATTATACTTTCAATAAACATTAACATTTATTGTTCAGTGTAAAGCCCAATTCATTCAGTCGGGTGATGATAGAGCATGAATTAAAAGACAGGGTAGCCTTGTATTAAAACACATTTTCATCTCTCCTGTGGGCCTTTTTTGTTAATTGCATCAATTTTATACATCCAGTTTAGAACAAGTAAAAAAATGTAAATCAGCTGAACAAGTGTATATTTTAAATTATCAGTAATCCCAACGCCAGGAAAGAAGCAGAGTCAGCAGTTGGCATTTGCTTTGCCAAGCAGATTTATTACATATCATATATATACACACACATACAGTATATATATTTATTAACATATATATGTTTAAAAGAAGAAACAAACTGCTGCTATATATATGTTAACATATATATGTTTATCACATATCATTCATATATATATATATATATGAATAAAACCTGGCCATATGCTACAAATGAGGTCTAGAATGTTCAGTTATATAAACATAAATAAATTTTATTGTGAGATTAATGAAAAGATGAAATAAAACCTGCATAGTTAGTTATCTGAACAGGGGAGCAGAGGGTCTGGTAATCAACTGCCAGTCACAGGAGTTTTATCATAGGATTTTGCTTTACAAGCACACATGTGTGTCTATGTGTACATATTTTTTACAAATATAAAATCATACTCTGAGACTTACAGTTTGGCTAGTCACTTATTCATTTAACCATAGATTATGAACATCATTTCATGTCAAAATTACATCACCCTAGTTAAAAACTCCAGCTCTGGATTCACGCAAATCTGAGTTCAGTTGTTAACTCTGCCAGTTACTAGCTGTGTGACCCTAAAGCAAGCTACTAAGCCTCCATTTTTTTCATCTGTTAAAAAAAACCAAACACCGCATATTCTCACTCATAGGTGGGAATTGAACAATGAGATCACATGGACACAGGAAGGGGAATATCACACTCTGGGGACTGTGGTGGGGTGGGGGGAGGGGGGAGGGATAGCATTGGGAGATATACCTAATGCTAGATGACGAGTTAGTGGGTGCAGCGCACCAGCACGGCACATGTATACATATGTAACTAACCTGCACAATGTGCACATGTACCCTAAAACTTAAAGTATAATAAAAAAAAAACACTAAAACAAACAAACAAACAAAAAAAAAAACAGAGGGAGTATTAGTAACCCTTACCTATCAGTTTCTAATAAACGTTAACTAGAATAAGCCATCTTGATATATAAATACTTGGCAAATGTGGTACAAATACATATCAATTAATATTCACTCCAAAAATATTAATTAAAAAATTCCTTCTGTCATCATTGTAATTGCCTAGCTAGGGGTTCATTTGGTGGCTAGTGCACATAAACCATGATTTTCCAGTTTCCAAATCTTAGACATTTAGGGATTTTCTGTCTTGGTTTCATCACTATCATAAGGAATGCCATTATTTTATACACACATTTTTGCCATTTGTCGGATTCTTTCCTTAGAATCAGTTACTTGGAACAAAATTTCCTTGATCAGAGAGTAGAGGCATTAAAAAATGTTTTATTATATTTTGAAAAACGATACCAACATTATACTAAGCATTTAAATCAGCATTATATAAAATTTCCATTTCCATATTATCAATTTTCTAAATTAAGGTGCAACCTATACAATGTAAATTGCAAAATCCTAGCAGTATGGCATGATGAATTTTTATGTATGTATACCTCTGTATAACCATCACCTGGATCGATATAGAGAACACCTCCATCACTCCAGAAGGATGCTTCTTGCCTCTTCCTAGTTAATAACCTCCCATATCAGAGATAAATTGTATCTGACTTCTAACCTATGAGAATATTTTTTGCCTCATCTTGACCTTAAAATAAATAGAATCATGCAGCATGTTTGCTTTTGTGTGTTCTATCTTTTGCTCAACACAATGTTTTGGAGATCCAGCCAGTTGTGTATCAGCAGTTTCTTGTTTCTTCTTTTCTAATGTTGCATAATACTCTACTGTATGAACATACCTCAATTTCTTTGTATATTCCCATATGTTTGCACATTTGTGTTGTTCCCAATGTAGGGGTGTTATGAATAAAGCTGCTGTCAACAATGTAAATGTTTATATATTCACTTGGTGGGCCTATGCCCTCATTTCTTCTGGGACTTCATCTATGAGTAAAATTCCTGTTTCATTAGAGTGGGCATACATTCTGCTTTGACAGATGCAGTTTTCGAAATGTTTAAAACAATGTATATTCTCATCAGCAACGTTTGAGAGTCCTAGCTGTCCTATATCTTCATCGACATTTGATATCATCAGTCCTTTAGTTATTTTACCATTTTCATGATTGTATATCTCATAGTGGTCCTAATTTGCATTTCTCTGATGAGTAATTTTATAGCACTTTTGAAAATATGCTTATCATCCACATTTAAAAGCTTTTTATGAATTACTTAGTCAAATGTTTTGCCCATGTTTGGGTTGTCATTTTCTTATTGACTTGTAAGAGTTCTTTAATATGGATATAGGACTTTTGTGATATATATATATATATACACACACATCATTTCATCTCAAAATTATATCATGCTAGTTAAAATCTCCAGCTCAGACAAATCTGGGTTCATTTGTTAACTCTGCCAATTACTAGCTGTGTGACCCTAGAGCACATATATATATTCTCAGTTATATATGTTACATACATATCACATACATATATGATGTGTGTGTGTATATATATATATATATATATATATATATATATAGTCTCAGTTTATGGCTTGCCTGTTCATTATTTTAGTGCTGTGTTTTGATGGAAAAGTTATAAATTTCAATTAAAAGTACATAATTATATAGAGTTAAATAATTTATAAGCATATTATAATAATATGTGTTTTTTAGCAAGGTCTGGATATAAGGTCAATGCAGAAAAATCAGTAGAATTTTTATATACTAACGAGAAGGAAATTAAAATTGAAATTAAAAAGACAATGCCAATTACAAAAGTCTCAAAAATATCAAATACAAATAAATCTAAAGAAGAATTTGGAAGCCTTTACACTAAAAATTAGAAAATACTGATTTGATAAAGATGATTTAAATAAGTGAAGAATTATACCATTTTCATGGATTGGAAGGTTCTATTATTTTAATATATTTATTTTCCAACATTAATCTAGATTTATTGATTTAGATTCAATAAAATCAAAATTAAAATAATAGGCATTTTTGTTAAAAGAGATAATCTGATTTTAAAATTTATTTGGAAATGCCAAGGACTTGAAATAGACAAAACAATCTTTAAGAACAAACTGTAACACTTTAGGAGTTGTTATAAACTTATAGTAACTATGGAAGTATGATATTGTCATAAAGACAGACAAATAGACCAAAGAAATAGAACAAGGAACTAAAACATAGACTGGCATATATATATTCACTTGATTTGTGGCAAAGACATCAACACCATTTAAAGAAAAAGGATATGTTTTTGGTTTTACCTTTTCAATAAATCATGCTGAAGCCGTAGGATAGTCATAAGAAAAAAATAACCTTGCTCTCCACTTTACATATACAAAAATTTAATTGGAGATTAGGGGTTTTTTCTTAAGAATATATTATTCTGAATTTAATACTCAAAAATGATGTCTTGGTGATACTTCTATTTGCATTTTTTGAATACTAATCTAGTTTAACTTTTTAAATTTTCTGTTTATATTTTTTCATTTATGATATTCCTTTTTGTGTTTTTTGCTTATTTTTCCACTAATTAATTAGGTAAAAGCACCCTAAGGGAAAGAATATTAACCCTTTTCTATTACATGTGCTATCATTAGTTTATAGTTCATGATATTTATGTCTCATTAAAATTAATAGTTAAATTTTATTTAGGCAAATTTATTAATGTTTTTCTTTATGACTAAGGTTGTATGTGCCATGCTTAGACACTCTTCTTCCATTGTAATGAGGTATATTTTCATCTCATATTCTATGGTTGTATTTTATGCACTTAAATCTTAATCTAATTAACATTAATTTTGGCTTTTTAAAAGAATTACAGCTATAAATTTATTTTTAAGTAATAGCCTGTTGTCTCAATATTATTTATTAAATAGTTAATACGTCTTTCCAAATTTTGATGTGCTATTTTCTTCACCCTCTAAAATTGCATGTAGTTTTACATATGTTTGTGGACTTTCTATTTTGTTCCTTTGACCAGTACGTTTTTATCTATAAAAATATGTCTACATAAAATACTTCTTATTCTTTGAAGGAGACAAAGATAATTGAATCTAGATTTGGCTAGAACTTAAAGAAAAATGTTCATAAAATTGTTAACAATGGCAATTCTTGTGTTGTGCTTGACCAAAACTTCAGAAATGATTAAAAGGGCCAGATGACTAACATGCCAGAAATAAAAATAATCCAAAATCATGCTTGCTTTAGCACAATTTTGTGGCAGCAATGTGTCCAAAAGAGACATTAGTGAGCATGGCAATAGTAGCTGTCAAGTAGGAAAGATTTTCTTTGGGTCTTCTACTGTCCTGATTTGTCCAAGAAAGGCAGGTGCATACTATAAGTGGTTGGTGCTTTGCTATACAAACAAAATAAAACAAAAAAACATAGCCCTATTTTGTCCTTCTTATACCACAGGCCCTACTGTAATTCAAAGAACAATACTAAGTAAATCATAGTATGGATAGATATATTCAAGCCTCAAAATGAACCTAAGAAACATTTAAAAAACCAATGGCCTAGAATACTTCATGAACCTTTTGCCACTTCTCTTCAAGGAAGACAGGGGATTTAAAAAAAAAAAAAAAAAAAAAAAAAGACAATCGGGCCGGGCCCAGTGGCTCACGCCTGTAATCCCAGCACTTTGGGAGGCCAAGGCGGGTGGATCATGAGGTCAAGACCATCCTGGCCAAGATGGTGAAACCACGTCTCTACTAAAAATACAAAAATTAGCTGGGTGTGGTGGCGTGCGCCTGTAGTCCCAGCTACTTGGGAGGCTGAGGCAGGAGAATCACTTGAACCAGGAAGGCAAAGGTTGCAGTGAATGGAGATCATGTCACTGCACTCCAGCCTGGTGCCAGAACAAGACTCCATCTCAAAAAAAGATAATTAAAATAATAGAAATTGAATACATAAAATTAGAAATCTCACATATGGCTTTAAACACATGGAGGAAATGAGAAAGATAAAAACTAACTTGAGTAACATATTCCTGAATAGCAAGAAAAGGGAGAACCTTAGAAGGGCTTGGCTTTCTGTGATCGTAACACAAGTACATGAAATATTGGGAGGTAAACAGCGAATCTGTATTTTGTGGTGTGATTGCAGATGCTAAATATTCATGGGTTTTAAGAGGGCTTTAGAAATTCAAAGGTTAGATATACAGAATAGATTTAGAAATGGAATTTGGAAATGTTATTCTACCCTTTGAAATCAACAATTGGGAGAGGAAAATCTCTGCTTTCCTCAAAATATTCCCTGGTACCATTAGTAACAGAGAGAATGCTGAGATAAGAGACACCTTTAGTCTGACAATCTAACCATATCTTCTCATCATCCCATTCCTTTTTATAAGTTATTGCTTTTTGTGAAGCAAGAGGACAGATGCTTCCCTATTTAATATTACCTGCAGAATTAGGTTTATATTTCTTACAGAAAGATAATAGAAAAGTATTCCAAGTTAGTTCTATACGAAATGTCTATAAATTAGTGAAAAAACAGAACATGCCAGGTGCAGTGGCTCATGCCTGTAATCCCAGCAACTCAGGAAGCTGAGGCCAGAGAATCACTTGAGCCCAGGAGTTCTAGGTTGCAGTGAGCTATGACCATGCCACCAGTCTTCAGCCTGGGCAACAGAGTGAGACCCTGTCTCCAATAAATAAATAAATAATAAAATACATATATATAAGGAAAATATCTATATTTATAAACTATATGTATATGAATATGTATATGTACATGTATATGAAGAACAAAAACAGCCTTCTGGCTCTATATATAACACTCCTTATTTTATGCATATGTATATGTATTTAATTCCTTCACCCATTCATTTTTATATTCAACAATCGCTACTACAGTTCTAGGTGTATGAACTCTGCAAGGCTTTGGGGATATCAAATTTCTTTAGATTCAGACCCTACTCTGGAAGCGTCTAGACTCTAGTGCTTGTCTAGTAACCAACAAAAACTAAATAATATGGTAACTATGATAACTGGCTGAATAGGCACAGGAGAAAAACAACAACAACAGTAAGGAAGGAAATAGTTCCAAATTGTTTTTGAACAAAAAAGATCAGGATTTTCATCCTCACTGTGCCACTAAATAACTCTGTGACTTAGGTCACTATCAGCTTACTCCTCTTTAAAATGTATCCTTACGGTTAACTACCTCATTGTTGGGTTGACTACATAGATGTATCACGTCCCTGACAAAATCTCCAATACATAATATAAATGAATGTTGTTTTTATCAATGGAGGCTGTGCTCAATTTTAATTCATTCAACTTTTGCAACAATTTCACTTTTTGTTCATTTTATTCTGATAACCTGAGATTGCCATTAAGTGTCCAAAAGAACCACTTAATGAATCACCAAGTCTATCAGTGGTCAGCAGGCCACTCAACCATTCCATTTGGGTAATCTTATCATCATTATCTGTTCAACAGAGTTTGATAAATTATTTTGCTATTTAATTGTAAATTACCTTTACTTTCTTATAAAAATAAGTTTTAAAATGGAAAAAAAATAAAAGTGCCAGGATAAGAAGCCTATTATCATATAATTGTTCTAAGATAGGCAAAGTTGGAAATCATCAGGAGTGACAAAGAAGCCAATTTTAATTTCAAATTGAAACCAGTTATTCAAATTTCATATTTTACAAATATTTCAGGAATGCATTGTAGACAGTAGGAAAGTGTCATATTGTGAAGACAGGAAATAGGAGCAAAAGCTTAAAGGTATGAACATGCATCACATGTCAATTGAGTCGTGAGAAGTTCAGTGTCATTAGAACGTAAGAGTGATGTGTGGAGGAGAGGAGTATTAGACTGGAGAGGTAATGGGAAAGTTTCTGGAAAGACTTGTGTGTCAAGCTAAGAAGTTAGATTATAATTTGGGTACATTTGAAGAAATAATAAAATGGAACCATTTTATGCCGAGGATTTTGCAAGGTAACTTTCTTATATGTGTGCCTGTATAGAAGATATGAGTTGGGTATGTTTAGATCTGGTAGGAAAGAAAGGGAGAAGAATATTGGAGAAAGGACTACATTTGAGAGAGTAATTTTAGAATGTTTCAAAAGAGGAAATTGAATTGATCCCTGGAAGTCTTGAACTACTGGGCTCATCAATATGTACCCAAAGGCTACCACGGTACCTGCCTATCATAGGCACTCAGTAAATTATAGCTTGAATACAGAAAAGAGTTAGGAAACAAGTCAATTTAGTTTATCTTTAGCGCCAAAGCCAGAAGCTATAATTTTAATACTTTTGCTGTGTACTTCATTCCTAGATTGTATTCCCAGGGTACCCTTGCCCACAATTAAAATAAGAAGATGCTTCAGGCACACATTACCAAAACCATTGTTAATCAATTAAGATCCTTATCTTGACAAAGCTAAAGAAAATTAAAATCTTTCATCCTCAAGTTACTAGTTAAGGAACGTATATATTTAAGTGTTTAAAATATTTTTTCTGTCTCTTGAGAGAGTATAATTCCTTTGTCTTCAACTCCTAGATATATTTTTAAAGAAGATTGTTTAATATCTGTAAAAGACATAGAAGTTTACAAACTTAATACTTTAGAAACTTCCAAATATTGTTTCAGAACAATTCTCACTAATCTGTGGTTTGGGACAAATGATTTAACTTCCTTCAGCTTCAGTTCCCCTTTTTCTTTGGTGGAGGCAAATTCATTCCCAAAGACTGGCTTCATTAATGAATTAAGATTGGCAAAGACTAACAGTATGCTTAGATGCAAACTACTATTGTTTATTTTTCTCTTTATAATTACAAATTTCCAGAATAAAGTTTGGTTTAATTAATTTTGGTAATTGTGATATTAAATTTTTTTAGCTATCATTCATTTAGTTCCCATTATGTCCCCAAAACTATACTAAAGTTATAAAAGCATTATCTTATATAACAACAACAACAAAAAAACCAGGTAAGTAATATTATCCCCATTATGTGTGTGTGTGTGTGTGTGTGTATATATATATATATATATATATATATATATATATATATGTATATATGTAGGTTAGGAAAATGAGTTTTAGAGAGACTAATAATCTACTTAATTTACAATCACAGATAGAGAAATTTAAACCTGTGCTTACAATATATTAAGTAGCCATTATGAATATTTGATATTTTATACCAATCATAAATAGTACTAGATCTGCTGCTTCTCACAATATCTGGAAATTAAAGCTAGGCTAATAAATTAGTTTATTCCTTATCAGAGATCAGGTAGGTAGTATCTAATCACCCATTGTTTCTTCATTAAATTTGTTAACTATACATGCCCTTGTAAAACTCATTTAGTAAAGTAAGTCCAATAAACTAAAATAGATCTTCTTTCATAAAATAAGTCTAGCATCTTTATGGGTTTTTTAAATTTCCAAATTAAAAAATAACCTTCATGATTACCAACACCAAACTCAATAAATATTTCATGGCTCTGTGTCTATCAACTGACATTCCTCATTTGATATCTAAATAAGTAGTGACCTTCCACTATATATTCACACTAACATGTCTGAAACACCCCCTGGTCCAGGTATTTTTAAACACAAAAGAACTGACCTTCCAATTATTTATATTTAAGCATATACCAATCACAGGTTTTTATTTTCAACTTTTATATCTCTAATCAAAAGGTGTTTCCTGCTATTACCATTATTGAATGACAAGGCATTCTTATTCTGCTTTTTGTATCTCATATGCTACAGTGCTTTGTCCTCAAGTTTAATTTCCTCTCAGTCTTCTCTATGGAGTATATTTCAACTATAAGTTTTGACATTCCAATAAGGAAATGTTACCTTTCTATTTTTGTTGTGCTCATTAGGTCATATTCTCCATTACATAGAAACATTTCCAGTTAATCTTTTTAATTTCCCATTTACTTTGTAGTTACTTATAGACAATTAAGTCCAGTATGTTAATATTACTTATCACTTATCTTATATTTTATCTCTGCTTGTAGAACTCCCTCTTCTCTCCATTGTGCATGTTGAGATTATTCGAGCTAAGCAAAAGATCCTCCCTTAATACCCAGTTTAAAGCCAACTTAATGAGCCCTGCCAGTTCTGAACACAACAGGGAGTTTGGTATCCCATCTGGTTAAGTGGAGACTACAATAACTTTCATGATGAGGACATCTGTTTAGAAAAATCAGAGTTCCATAAATCCAAAACTCTCCTTCCTGTACACCCATCATTGTTGCTTTATCTTTATTCTCTTCCCTTGTAATAGCAAGGTCTTCAAGATGACTCCCTTTCTTCAATTCTCTCAACTAAACTCCTTGATAGATGTAAAATAAAACATTACAAGTTGAAATCATGTAACATGAAGTCCAGTTTGGGTTTGTTTTTTGCTCCACTGTTTATTTTCATTAAATATATTTTAAAAATGATAAAAGTATAGATTTGCTGATGGGAATATCAATAATCGTCATCAACATGTATACAGTGCTCGCTACACAAAGACACTTACATAGGCTCTCTGTATGCATGATTTCCTTCCATCCTTACAACAACCTTGTGAGGAAGGTAAGTGAGCATTTTGATTGCCTATCCAACATCCATTTTATGCCTCACTAATTGTGTAGCAAGCAAGAACAAATGGCAGAGTAAGGCTACACTAGGAAAAAAAATAAAGAAATAATCTCTACCCTCATGAAGTTTACGTTCTATCATTCTCTTAAAGCCTACCCTACCTGTGGATTAAGACATACGTGTCAAGGAATTTCCTCATGTTATCTAATTAAGTGTATAATTGGCATAATTTTTTTATTGGAAACAAAATAGGGCTTGTGCTTTAATTATATAGGTAGGAGAAAACAAGGAATACCTTATCTAACCAAGACAAAAAAATTAGCCTTTTGTTCATGACAATTCCTCAGCAAGTATTTTTAGGATCTTTCATGTGCCAGACACTATAATCATTGAAAATACAAACACAATGGAACATACACCCAATTTTCAAGCAGAATGCAAAAGATACCAAAAAGGAATACACATGAATATTACTCACTCAGTAGAATAAGTCTCAGTCTCTTTCTCTTTCTCATCATTTTTCCTTTATGTTACACAGCATTCTAACATCTAGAAGTACATAATATCTTGTAAAAGGAAATTAGAAAGTGACTCACTTTTTATAATGAAAATAATTTGTTGTAGCAATGAGAAAGGGAGGAACACTTTTAAAAGAAGAATCATGAAGTTTAAAAAATATAAAAAAACAGGGCAGCCAAGATGGCCGAATAGGAACAGCTCTGGTCTAGAGCTCCCAGCGTGAGCGATGCAGAAGACGGGTGATTTCTGCATTTCCATCTGAGGTACCGGGTTCATCTCATTAGGGAGTGCCACACAGCGGGCGCAGGACAGACTTTAAACCAACAAAGATAAAAAGAGACAAAGAAGGCCATTACATAATGGTAAAGGGATCAATTCAACAAGAAGAGCTAACTATCCTAAATATATATGCACCCAATACAGGAGCAACCAGATTCATAAAGCAGGTGCTGAGTGACCAACAAAGAGACTTAGACTCCCACACAATAATAATGGGAGACCTTAACACCCCACTGTCAACATTAGACAGATCAACGAGACAGAAAGTTAACAACGATACCCAGGAATTGAACTCAGCTCTGCACCAAGTGGACCTAATAGACATCTACAGAACTCTCCACCCCAAATCAACACAATATACATTTTTTTCAGCACCACACCACACCTGTTCCAAAATTGACTACATAGTTGGAAGTAAAGCTCTCCTCAGCAAATGTAAAAGAACAGAAATTATAACAAACTGTCTCTCAGACCACAGTGCAATCAAACTAGAACTCAGGACTAAGAAACTCACTCAAAACCGCTCAACTACATGGAAACTGAACAACCTACTCCTGAATGACTACTGGGTACATAACGAAATGAAGGCAGAAATAAAGATGTTCTTTGAAACCAACGAGAACAAAGACACAACATACCAGAATCTCTGGGACGCATTCAAAGCAGTGTGTAGAGGGAAATTTATAGCACTAAATGCCCACGAGAGAAAGCAGGAAAGATCCAAAATTGACACCCTAACATCACAATTAAAAGAACTAGAAAAGCAAGAGCAAACACATTCAAAAGCTAGCAGAAGGCAAGAAATAACTAAAATCAGAGCAAAACTGAAGGAAATAGAGACACAAAAAACCCTTCAAAAAATTAATGAATCCAGGAGCTGGTTTTTTGAAAGGATCAACAAAATTGATAGACCGCTAGCAAGACTAATAAAGAAGAAAAGAGAGAAGAATCAAATGGACACAATAAAAAATGATAAAGGGGATATCACCACCGATCCCACAGAAATACAAACTATCATCAGAGAATACTACAAACACCTCTATGCAAATAAACTAGAAAATCTAGAAGAAATGGATAAATTCCTCGACACATACACCCTCCCAAGACTAAACCAGGAAGAAGTTGAATCTCTGAATAGACCAATAACAGGATCTGAAATTGTGGCAATAATCAATAGCTTACAAACGAAAAAGAGTCCAGGACCAGATGGATTCACAGCCGAATTCTACCAGAGGTACAAGGAGGAACTGGTACCATTCCTTCTGAAACTATTCCAATCAATAGAAAAAGAGGGAATCCTCCCTAACTCGTTTTATGAGGCCAGCATCATCCTGATACCAAAGCCAGGCAGAGACACAACCAAAAAAGAGAATTTTAGACCAGTATCCCTGATGAACACTGATGCAAAAATCCTCAGTAAAATACTGGCAAACCGAATCCAGCAGCACATCAAAAAGCTTATCCACCATGATCAAGTGGGCTTCATCCCTGGGATGCAAGGCTGGTTCAATATATGCAAATCAATAAATGTAATCCAGCATATAAACAGAACCAAAGACAAAAACCACATGATTATCTCAATAGATGCAGAAAAGGCCTTTGACAAAATTCAACAACCCTTCATGCTAAAAATTCTCAATAAATTAGGTATTGATGGGACGTATCTCAAAATAATAAGAGCTATCTATAACAAACCCACAGCCAATATCATACTGAATGGGCAAAAACTGGAAGCATTCCCTTTGAAAAGTGGCACAAGACAGGGATGCCCTCTCTCACCACTCCTATTCAACATAGTGTTGGAAGTTCTGGCCAGGGCAATTAGGCAGGAGAAGGAAATAAAGGGTGTTCAATTAGGAAAAGAGGAAGCCAAATTGTCCCTGTTTGCAGATGACATGATCGTATATGTAGAAAACCCCATTGTCTCAGCCCAAAATCTCCTTAAACTGATAAGCAACTTCAGCAAAGTCTCAGGATACAAAATCAATGTACAAAAATCAAAAGCATTCTTATACACCAACAACAGACAAACAGAGAGCCAAATCATGAGTGAACTCTCATTCACAATTGCTTCAAAGAGAATAAAATACCTAGGAATCCAACTCACAAGGGACGTGAAGGACCTCTTCAAGGAGAACTACAAACCACTGCTCAATGAAATAAAAGAGGATACAAAGAAGTGGAAGAACATTCCATGCTCATGGGTAGGAAGAATCAATATCATGAAAATGGCCATACTGCCCAAGGTAATTTATAGATTCAGTGCCATCCCCATCAAGCTACCAATGACTTTCTTCACAGAATTGGAAAAAACTACTTTAAACTTCATATGGAACCAAAAAAGAGCCTGCATCGCCAAGTCAATCCTAAGCCAAAAGAACAAAGCTGGAGGCATCACGCTACCTGACTTCAAACTATACTACAAGGCTACAGTAAGCAAAACAGCATGGTACTAGTACCAAAACAGAGATATAGATCAACGGAACAGAACAGAGCCCTCAGAAATAACGCCGCATATCTACAACTATCTGATCTTCGACAAACCTGAGAAAAACAAGCAATGGGGAAAGGATTCCCTGTTTAATAACTGGTGCTGGGAAAACTGGCTAGCCATATGTACAAAGCTGAAACTGGATCACTTCCCTTACACCTTATACAAAAATTAATTCAAGATGGATTAAAGACTTAAACATTAGACCTAAAACCATAACAACCCTAGAAGAAAACCTAGGCATTACCATTCAGGACATAGGCATGGGCAAGGACTTCATGTCTAAAACACCAAAAGCAATGGCAACAAAAGCCAAAATTGACAAATGGGATCTAATTAAACTAAAGAGCTTCTGCACAGCAAAAGAAACTACCATCAGAGTGAACAGGCAACCTACAGAATGGGAGAAAATTTTCACAACCTACTCATCTGACAAAGGGCTAATATCCAGAATCTACAATGAACTCAAACAAATTTACAAGAAAAAAACAAACAACCCCATCAAAAAGTGGGCGAAGGACATGAACAGACACTTCTCAAAAGAAGACATTTATGCAGCCAAAAGACACATGAAAAAATGCTCACCATCACTGGCCATCAGAGAAATGCAAATCAAAACCACAATGAGATACCATCTCACACCAGTTAGAATGGCAATCATTCAAAAGTCAGGAAACAACAGGTGCTGGAGAGGATGTGGAGAAATAGGAACACTTTTACACTTTTGGTGGGACTGTAAACTAGCTCAACCATTGTGGAAGTCAGTGTGGCGATTCCTCAGGGATCTAGAACTAGAAATACCATTTGACCCAGCCATCCCGTTACTGGCTATATACCCAAAGGATTATAAATCATGCTGCTATAAAGACACATGAACACGTATGTTTATTGTGGCACTATTCACAATAGCAAAGTCTTGGAACCAACCCAAATGTCCAACAATGATAGACTGGATTAAGAAAATGTGGCACATATACACCATGGAATACTATGCAGCCATAAAAAATGATGAGTTCATGTCTTTTGTAGGTACATGGATGAAGCTGGAAACCATCATTCTCAGCAAACTATCGCAAGGACAAAAAACCAAACACAGCATGTTCTCACTCATAGGTGGGAACTGAACAATGAGAACACATGGACACAGGAAGGGGAACATCACACTCCGGGGACTGTTGTGGGGTGGGGGGAGTGGGGAGGGATAGCATTGGGAGATATACCTAATGCTAAATGACGAGTTAATGGGTGCAGCACACTAGCATGGCACATGTATACATATGTAACTAACCTGCACATTGTGCACATGTACCCTAAAACTTAAAGTATAATAATAAAATTAAAAAATATATATATAAAAACAGAGCAGATGGAGACATATAACATAGAAGCAGTAGTACATTCGATTTAAGAAGTCAAGAAAATATTCAGTACATCTAATACAATTTTATCCAAATGAATCCTTTCATTTTAGAGCAGATGTCCCCAACCTTTTTGACACCATGAATCAGTTTTGTGGAAGACAATTTTTCCATGGACAGCAGGGTGGTGAAGGTAGGGGGAGATGGTTTGGGGATGATTCAAATGCATCACATTTATTGTGCGCTTTCTTTCTATTATTATTACATTGTAAGTATAACATATAATGGAATAATTATACAACTCGCCATAATATAGAATCAGTGGGAATCCTGACCTTGTTTTTCTGCAACTAGATAGTCCTATCTAGGGGTAATGGGAGACAGTGACAGTTCATCAGGCACTGGATTCTCATAAGGAGCATGCAATCTAGATTCCTCACATGTGCAGTTTACAATAGGGTTCCCTCTCCTGTGAGAATCTAATGCCACTGCTGATCTGACAGGAGCTGGAGCTCAGGCAGTAATGTGAGTGATGAGGAGCGGCTGGAAATACAGATGAAGCTTCACTCCATTGCCCACTGCTTACCTCCTGCTCTGTGGCCCAGTTCCTAACAGGCCATGGACTGGTACCAGGTCTGTGGCTCAGGGACTGGGGATCTCTGTTTTAGAGGATTGGCTTACAGATGTTAATCATCAGTTATTCAGTAGACTTGGCCATGCAAAATGTAAGACTAACTTATTTTTGAAACTTAAATTATCATATTTGTGAATATTCTCCGGTAGCCTTACATAACTTTGGAATTATCATTTTTCTTTCCTTTCTTCCTGATTTATAGGAAATTTCCAGGAAAGCCTTAAAAGCAACCTGGATCTTAAAACCTTATACCAATCAATGCTTTTAGAAATCAAAAAATATTTTTTGGTCCATATCTATGGTTTTCCTTATAATCTCCTTTTCACTGACAGATTTTTAGAAAGAGTTGCCTTTACTCACTCTTTATAATTTTTATCTATTATTATCACTATTTTTCCATAATTTATTGGGGTATAGGTGGTATTTGGTTACATGAGTAAGTTCTTTAGTGGTGATTTCTGAGATTTAGGTGCATCCATCACCTGAGCAGTATACACTTCACCATACTTGTAGTCTTCCATCCCTCAGCACCCCCAACTCTTCCCCGCCAAGTCTGCAAAGTTGATTGCATCCTTATGCCTTTGCATCTTCATAGCTTAGCTCCCACATATCGGTAAGAACATATGATGTTTGGTTTTCCATTCCTGAGTTACTTCACTTAGAATAATAGTCTTCAATCTCATCCAGGTCACTGCAAATGCTGTTAATTAATTCCTTTCTAGGGCTGCATAGTATTCCACTGTGCATATATATTCCATTTAATATATATAAATTAATATATATTCTGTTTAAATATATTCCATTTAAGATATATGTGGCATATATATATATGCACATATATATGTTGCATATATATATATGCCACATATATCTTAAATGGAATATATATTAAATGGAATATATATATATATATATATATATATATATATATCTATATATATATATATATATAATCACAGTTTCTTTATCCACTTGTTGATTGATGGGCATTTGGGTTGGTTCCATAATTTTGCAATTGTGAATTGTGCTGCTATAAATATGCATGTGCAAGTATCTTTTTTGAATAATGACTTATTTTCCTCTGGGTAGATGCCCAGTAGTGGGATTGCTGGATCCAGTGGTAGATCTACTTATAGTTCTCTAAGGAATCTCCACACTGTTTTCCACAGCAGCTCTACTAGTTTATATTCCCACCAGGAGTGTTTCCTGTTCACTGCATCCACGCTCACATCTACTGTTTTTTGATGTTTTGATTATGGCCATTCTTTTTTATTTTTATATTTATTTATTTATTTTAAGATGGAGTTTCACTCTTGTCGCCCAGGCTGGAGTGCAGTGGTGCAATTTCAGCTCATTGCAACCTCTGCCTCCTGAGTTCAAGTGATTCTCCTGCCTCAGCCTCCCAAGTTGCTGGGACTACAGGCGCCCACCACCATGCCTGGCTAATTTTTCTATTTTTAGTAAAGATGGGGTTTCACCATGCTGGCCAGACTGCTCTCGAACTCCTGAGCTTAGGTGATCTGCCTGCCTTGGCCTCCCAAAGTCCTGGGATTACAGGCGTGAGCTACAGCACCTGGGGTTATAGCCATTCTTGCAGGAGTGAGGTGGTATCCTGTTGTGGTTTTGATTTGCATTTCCCTGATCATTAATGATGTTGAGCATTTTCTCATATGTTTGTTGGCCATTTGTATATCTTCTTTTGAGAATTGTCTATTCATGGCCTTAATCCACTTTTTGATGGGATTTTTTTTTTTTCTTACTGATTTGTTTGAGTTCGATGTAGATTCTGGATATTGGTCTTTTGTCAGATGTATAAGTTGTGAAGATTTTCTCCCACTCTGTGGGTTGTCTGTTTACTCTGCTGACTGTTCTTCTTGTATCACTTTTTGGATTTCGTTGCATTGCACTTCACCTTTCTCTGGTACCTTCCTGATTAGCTTAATAGCTAACCTCCTGAATTCTTTTTCAGGTAAATCACGGATTTCCTCTTGGTTTGGATCCACTGCTGGTGAACTAGTGTGATTTTTGGGGGGTGTTGAAGAGCCTTGTTTTGTCATATCACTATGTTTGGTTTCCTGGTTCCTTCTCATTTGGATGGGCTCTGTCAGAGGGAAGGTCTAAGGCTGAAGGCTGTTCAGATTCTTTTGTCCCACATAGTATTCCTTTGATGTAGTACTCTCTACCTTTCCTATGGATGTGGCTTCCTGTGAGCAGAAGTATAGTGATTGTTGTCTCTCTTCTGGGTCTAGCCACCCAGCAAGTCTACCCAGCTATGGGCTGGTACTGAGGATTGCCTGCACAGAGTCCTATAATGTGAACTGTCTTTGGGTCTCTCAACTGTGTATACCAGTGCCTGTTCTGGTGGAGGTGGCGTGGGGGTGGGGGGTGGGGTGGAGGGGGTGGGCAATGGACTCCATGAAGGTTCTTAGCTTTGGTGGTTTAATGCTCTATTTTTGTGCTGGTTGGCCTCCTCCCAGGAGGTGGCACTTTCCAGAACGCATCAGCTGTGGTATTATGGGGAGGAACTGGTGGTGGGAAGGGCCCTAGAACCCCCAAGAGTATATGTTCTGTGACTTCTGCTACCAGGGTGGATAGGGAAGGACCATCAGGTTGGGGAGGGGCTAGATGTGTTTGAGCTCAGACTCTCCTTGAGTGGGTCTTTCTGCAGCTGCTGTAGGGGATGGGGTGAGATTCCAGGTCACTGGAGTTGTGTCCCTAGGAGGATTATGGCTGCCTCCTCTTAGTCATGCAAGTTGTCAGGGAAGTGGGGAAAAGCCAGCAGTCACAGGCCTCACCCAGCTTCCATGAAAACCGAAGGGCTGGTCTCACTCCCACCCTGCCCCCACCAACAGCCCCCAGACTGTTTCCAGGTGGGGAGCAATATGGGCTTGAAAACCTGCCCCAGGCTATCTGCCTCCCACCTGGGAAAGAAAAGGGCTTGGTTCTTCCCCATTGTGGAGTCTGCACACTGGATTTGCACCCTCCCCCAAGTTATGGCCAGGAGGCTTCTCACCCCGTTGAAATTGTTGCAAAGTTCAGCTAGAGATTTTCTTCTCCCTGTGTAGTTTTACCCCCCTGCTCCTCTCCCTTTGGATCCCTGTGGTGCCAGGCAGGAATGGGCTGCGAGGGGACCCAGTGAGCTCCCAGGGCCTTTCTGCTGCTTCCTCTACCCCTATACTTCACTCAACTCTCCAAATTAACTCAGCTCCAGGTAAAGTTAGAAACTTCTCCTGCAAACAGACCTTCAGCTTCTCCAGTGGGGGTGTGTGTTTGGGAGAGGAGGGTCTCCTTTTCCTACTCCCGCAGTTAGGGCACTCAGTTTTTGGGGGGTCTCCAGGGTCCTTCAGGAGCAGTCTTCTTCCTTCAGAGGGTCTGTGGGTCCTCTTGGAATTGGTGATTTGTTCTTGCGGTCGATCTGGAGCTAAAATTTACAATGTGAGCCGCAGCCCACTGCTATGTCCAGAGCAGCAATGAAATAGACTTTATTATTTAGAGCGGTTTTAAATTCACAGCAAAATTAAGCAGGACGTACAGAGAGTTCCCATGTACCCTCTGATACCACATACAATCTCCCTCTCTATTAACATCCTCCAGAGTAGTACGTTTGTCATCACTGATGAACCAAATTGCCATATCATTATCTCCCCTAATCCATAGTTTACATTAGGGTTTACTGTTGATGTTGTGCATGCTATGGGTTTTGACAAATGTGTAATGACATGTATTTCCAATTATAGTATCATACAAAATTGTTTCACTGCCCTAAAAGTCCTCTGGACTCTTCCTATATCTCCCTTTTCCATCATAACCCCTGGAAACCACTAATCCTTTTCCTGTCTCCAGTTTTTATCTTTTCCAAATGTCATATAGTTGGAACACACAATATATAACCTTTTCAAATTGGCTTATTTCACTTAAAAATATGCACTTGAAATTCCTCCATCTTTTTCCATGGCTTCATTGCTAATTTTCTTAGCACTGCATATATACCACTGTCTGCATATACCACAGGTTATTCACCCATTCACTCACTGATTAATATACTGTTTGTTTCCAAGTTTTGGCAATTATGAATAAAGCTGCTATAAACTTCTGTATGAAAGTTTTGGTGTGCAAATAAGTATTCAACTCATTTGGAAAAAATATCAGGGGGTGCAATTGCTGGGTCATATGGTAAAAGTTGTTTAGTTCTGTAAGAAACTGCTAAACTGTCTTCCAAATTGGCTCTATCACTTTGCATTCCCACTAGCAATGAATGAGAGTTCCCATTGCTCCACATCCCTGTCAACACTTGGTGTTGTCAGTGTTTTGTATTTTGGCCATTCTAATAGATGTGTAGTGATAGCTCATTGTTGTTTTAATTTGCATTCCCCTGATGACACATGATGTGGAGCGTCTTTTCATATGCTCATTTGCCATCTGTATATTATCTTTGATGAAGTGTCTGTTAAAGTTATTTGCCTATTTTTCAATTAGGTTGTTTGTATTCTTAAAGTTTTCAGAATTCTTTACATATTTTTGATAATATTCCTTTATCAGATGTGTCTTTTGCAAATATTTTCTCCAAGTCTGTGGTTTGTCATTTCCTTGTCTTGATAATATCTCTTGCAGAACAAAATTTTTTAATTTCAATAAAGTCCAGCTTACCAATTCTTTCTTCAATAGATCTTTACATTTGGTGCTGCAACTAAAAAGTCACCACCAAACCCAATGTCATCTAGACTTTTTTATGCCATCTTCTATGAATTATATAGTTTTGCATTTGACATTTAGGTCCGTGATTCACTTTAAGTTAATTTTCATAAAGTGTGTAGGGTCTGTATCTAGATTCATTTTATTTGTATGTGGAGGCCCAGTTGTTCCAGCACAACATGTTGAAAAGACAATCTTTCATTTATTTTATTGCCTTTGTTCCTTTGCCAAAGATCTATATTTGTGTGGGTCTATTTCCTGACTGCCTATTCTGTTCCATCAATCCATTTGTCTATTCTTTTGCTAATACCACACTGTCTTGATTTACGGTAAAGACTGACATCAGGTAGTATGAATCCTCCAGCTTTGTTCTTCCCTTCAATACTGGCTACTCTGGGTCTGTTTCCAAATTTTAATCTCTAGCTCCATGCTCAGTCCACTTCATTCTGGTTTCAAACTATCTTATAGAAGTAGTAAGTAGTCTTCATATTTTTTTAGTCCTCCTTGCACTTCAACTTTCAGCAGCATTCCACATAGTTGAGCATGTCCTCCGGCTTAATGTATGCTATTTCCTTGGCTTTTGAGACATAATTTTATGTTTTTAACCCTCTGGCTATTCTTTCTTACCAGACTCACCTGTCTTTGTTTGTCTACTGCATGTTAAATGACTCGAGCCTAGGACCTAAACCATCTTTATCTCTCATTCTATAACTCTCTTCCCAGGTGGGAACTATACAGAGATAATCCACACATTTTAACTCCAAGCCAAGGTCATCCTCTGAATTTCTGGCTCACATTTTTCTGACTGGTCAACATCTCTTCTTGGCTATATCAAAAGCACCACAAAACAATAAAACCAAGACTAAATTCATGATCTTTTCATTGCCACATTTCTCCAACCAATTAATGATTTCACAATCTAGTTATACCAGCCAAAAAAACTAAGACTATTTTCTGACAACTCCCTTTCCTTCTACTCCCTAAGTATAGTCCACCAATACAGTCTGTCAAATACTAAATATTTCTTAAATCCTCCTATGTCTGTGGTGCACATAACCACTTGAGGTCAAGTGGTCATCATCTTTTGTCTCTTCTTTTATATACTAGTAACTTGTCTACCTCCATCTATTTTGGTACCAATCCCACACATTCTCCACAAAAAAACCAGAACAATTTATGCTAGAAGCAAATTAACTCATTTCATCTTTCTACTTAAAATTATCCAGTAGTTGCAGGCCAGGTGCAGTGGCTCACACCTGTAATACCAGCACTTTGGGAGGCCAAGACGGGATGATTGCTTGAGCACAGGAGTTCAGGACCAGCCTGGGAAACATAGTGAAACCCTGTTTCTACAAAAAATCAAAAATTAGCCAGGCATGGGCTTGTAGTCCCGGCTACTTGAGAGGCTGAGGCAGGAGGATCGCTTGAGCCTGGGAAGTCGAGACTGCAGTGAACCATGCTTGTACTGCTGCATTCAGCCTGGGTGACATGAGACCCTGTCTCAACAACAACAACAACAAAAACAAAAACAAAAAACAACTCCTCAGTAGTTTCCCATTGCTCATAGGGAGTCACATTAATGGTATGTAAAGACTTGCATGTTCTGGATTTACCATCCTTCTCATGCTTTAATTTGCACCATTTCCATCTCCCTCCTTTTTCCTTCAACGATACTGACATTCACTGCCTTGTATATGCACCATGTTTTCTTCTGTCACAGTGTTTATGTCTACGTTGTTCTCTCAGACTGGCACACTATTTCCTTCCTTCTTTATTTAACTCAGTTAATCTTCATACCTAAACTCATGTCACTTATTAAAGAGAAAGCTTTCTTGATTTCTCTGAAAAGCTTAAATCTCCATAAGGTTTCATACAGTTAATTTTGTACATACTTGCTCCCGTTTCATTTTACATTTGTCCATGTGAGTTTTTGAGTAATATGTATTTATGTTTCCCTCTAGTTTGTAAACTCTTCTGAGGACAGAGACTCTACTTTGGCTCACTATTTAGTCCCAAGGCCCAGTATAGTACCTAGAGCAGAGTTTTCATCCAATAATAATCACTGAATGAATGCATGAATGACTAACTTTAATTCCCCACTTGGTCGGAATGAATGAATACTTTTTTGAGCTGCCCTTAGCTCTGAATTTATACTTTCTGCTCTTTCAATTATTTTAAGCTATCAAGTACTTTAAATAACTTTTAAGGTGAAATATCTTGAGAAAGAAATGAATGTATTTTATTATATAGTCTTTGTATTCCTTTTCACTTTAAATCTTGATTTGAGGAATTTATACTTTCAGAATTTCTTACTTATGTACTATCTTACATTAAACAAATACTATTTTTGATGCAGGGATGGTATCTCTTAAGTGATAAGATCATACAACTAAATAGTGGTAGCTATGGGTCTAGAATGCTAGTTTCCTGACATCCAATTTGGTTCTATTTCCTCCTTATGGGTAGCTATAAATTATCCCATTAAAAGAGAGAATAGATTATAAGAATTTTAGACAATTCTTCTAAAATAATGTGTAGGTCAATTTACCCCCTTCATGATCTGCTCCTAGTCACTCACAAGAAACCTGAAGACTATTACTTGTCTACTAGATTTAGATCAAGTATACTATACCCTGAAAAGATTTGGCAAGATACTATCTGTGGCCTGATAAGAAGCATGTCCAGTCTTTATGTCTGGTCCTATTCCTTCTAATTCTAGTGGTACTTAGTGTATCTAGTAACACCTAGTGTATGATTTCAGAAAGACTGATGATTCCTTGCCTATACCAAATCTCATTTATCTGATTTCTTAGAGAAAAAATGTGCAAGAAAAATTGGTACAAATTCATTGATTCATATCTCTTGAGCATAGATATTTTGTTAAAATTTTAACTATTTTTGATAACAATGTTCCTAAAATATACTATACATTTTAGGTTTTAATAGACTTTATTCTTCAGAGTAGAATGAAACCTTGCTAAATGTTATTATGGAAATCACATGGCATAATTTGCACAGCATTTTGCAGTTTTAAATGCTCTTTTCAGTACTTTGGTTGCACTACATTGTAGTTCAGTGATGCTCTAAGGTGACATTAATATGTGTAGGAGATTTACCCCTGACAGGATATAGACCTGCATTATTATGGACTTTGAGACTATTATACAAATTCTATTTGTAACCCACAGGTCTTGAATAATATTGGGAAGAAAGTCTATGTCTGGAGTGACACATGCAGAATTTCCAAACTTGTGGTTATCCCCTTATTTCTTGTTTATTTTATCAGTCGTTGATCCTATTTCTTCTGTTTCTACTTTTACATCCCTCCCTTTTGTCCTAATCTGTCAGCATTGGCTTTTTGCCTCTCAAGTACTGAAGAACAAAACTGAAGGTTTCCAGGGGAAACTAAATAATCATATTCTGCATGTTTCCTATTAATAATAATTTTTTAAATGATATTCTAGCTAGAGGCAAATGTCAGGTATCTGAAAAATTCATTCCCCAATGATGTCAGTTAACGTTATAGTCATACGACAAACATGTATTGGATAGGGTTTTATAAACAAATTCATTACCCTTTTTGGCAGCATAAAAATTCTGTATTGAATTTTGTTTTTTATTTGCTAAAATATTGGCAAATATATCCCAAACATAAACGTATATATTCACTCTCTCTATCCCTCTCCCTCAACCCCAGTTTCCTGAAAAATCACTGGTCATTTATAAAAAAGCCTCATCTCTTTTATGAAACTTTCCAGACTCGATTTGTTTAAACAGTGGGACATTAGGTGGGACTTCAAGAATGGATAGGAATTCAAAGGGCACAATGGAGGTAGACAGCATACATCATAATGGGATCAAGGACCAAAGATGTAAAGAACTGGCTGTGTTTATCAAATGGCTTGGCTAGAATGTGGATTACAAAAGGAATCATTTAATATTTAAATGGTTTCGCACTATATTATCTAAGCTGTCTTTTTTCTCTTTGCCTTTATTAACAGTTTTGTTGAGATATGATTGATAAAATTCACCTCTTTCAACTGTGCAATTCAATTATTCTTAGTATATTTATATAGAGATAGAGCATAATATCACAGTGTAATTTTAGAACAGTTTGAAGTTGTCCTTTGAATATTTTATTTTAAAGTATAGTAATGAAATGTAGAATAAAAATTTCAAAAAAATCCCCCATAAAATTAATGTATTTCTGAATACATAAAATAGTTTTGGAATATAGATGCAGAATAAGTTAATAGCAAATTTTCTGCTTTTTAAGAAAATCACTGGGGTGAGTAGTTTGAATTTAAAACCTTTAAGTACTAACCATGAAAAGATAGTATGCCTGCTACTATCAGAATTTTCATCTTACCATTCTTTTATATAAATTTTATGTTACTAATAAATTCTAAAATTGTCTTTCTTTAGATATTAATACTGTGGGTAAAAGCCAATCAGAATCACTCATTTGAAGTTTAGAGTCTTATGTCTGATGAGGGTATAAAAGCACTTACATGCCCAAAGTACTAGGAGTGGAAAACTTCCAGAAAAGTGAAGAAAAAAAAGTTTGCACACCTAAACCCACAAGTGCACAGGTTAATTTTAAAATGCTAGACGTATCAGAGATCTGGTGGTATTCTTCCTAAGGCTACAAACCCAAAGTCAGTAGCAGCAAATTGAGGGATTAGATTCTACGTCATTTAAGTTTGCTCTTCCCAGCATCCAACAGCATTCTAACTTGCCAAAACGGAGACAATCTCCCAAAAAGTGAATATTCAAGAAACTGCAACTATGTGAACTTCATTTCTATCCAAATCCCTGCTATAAGAAATGAAGTCACATGCTCTGAATAAAAAATGCTTTTGCATCTCTAATCCCAATGTTTACTCTCATAAAATCCATGTCACTCTATTCTTTTAGAGAAGGCTTTTGTATTATCGTTACATTATTCCCTATGCTTGTATTAAAATGAGTGCAGGAATATGGATGCCTTACTTTTGCAGGTCTGTACACATTTGTATTCACTTGTGTTGTATAAATGCCCTAAATCATTGGTTCTAAAATTTGGCTACACAGTGGAATCATCTGGGGTGCTCTAGATGCTACTGGTGCGTGGGTCTCAGCCCCAGAGATTCTGATTTAATTGGCATGGGGATTTTTTAATAGCTGATCTGGTGCAATGATTTGAATGTGTCCCCTCCAAAATTCAGGTGTTGAAACTTAATGGCCAACTTTATGGTATTAAGAGTTGGCATTTTAAGAGGTGATTAGGCCTTTAGGGCTTCTCCCCTTGTGAATGAGATTAAAGCCCTTATAAAAGAGGCTTCATTCCATGTTTTGTGAACTTTTCCACCTGGCTTCAGGCATTTGAGGATTCAGAATTCCTGAAGAGGCCATCTTGGAAGCAGAGAGTAGTTTTCCCCAGAGAACCAAACCTACCAATGCCTTGATCTTTGACTTCTCAGCCTCCAGAAATATGAGAAAATAAATTTATGTTCTTTATAAATTACCCAGTCTGACGTATTTGTTATAGCAGCACAAGTGGTCTAAGATACTTGGTGATTCTAATAAACAGCAAAGTTTGAGAACCACTACTCTAAACTACTTCTGAGGGAAAAAGGAACCAAGAACATGCTTTACTATTGGTCCTAAGAACTAATTCCACTCTGAAGACAACACTGAATGCATGGAAAAATATATATTCTTACTCTGAAAATGACAGGCAAGGGTTTCCTGAAGCAACAACAGTCTTTGCCAACCAGTAAGTCTTTGCCAAAGGGACTGATACACTTTCCGTTCAAAATGTTTCTTCTTGGACCTTTCCCTATCTGCCAGATGCTTCATTATTTCTTATTATGAGTTTTACAGAATCAGGTGAATGTTATTTGCACTGGCCTCCATCACTTTCTGGTTAAGAGTAGAGTAAACTACCTTTAGAAGAATTTCTCTGTTGGCACCAGTTACGATTCAGGAGACCTTTTAAAAGTAAATAAGGAAAGCTTTCCTAACATATCTATTTTGAAGGATGGATTTATGATTGGTTGCATTCACGCTATTTGAAATAAATGAAAAAGAGGGGAAAGGCACACAATTAGAATATTAAGATAACATTAAAATAAAAATTTGAGTTTCAGATTCATTTTGACCTACTGAACAATTTTATTTGAAAAGATTATTTTTAAAAATACTTTTAAGCTGTTGAATTTGAAGTTTTTCTGGAGCATTTTTTTCTTATTTTTATTTTTTTTTTTTTGCCAGCAAAATTCTCTGAGGCAAATTGAGTAAAATATTTTGCTGGAGGGGATACATTACTTTCAAGAAGCATTCCTTTGCATCATGAAATTTATCAAGGAAAGAAAAAAATCAAAGACAATGCTAAAATTTGTGGCAATCAAAGAAAATTAATATTAAAATTGTCATGAAGTCTCAATTGTTCTCTAGATTAAATCATGATTTTAAAATATCTTTGTTAATTATTTAAATTATAGCATAAACCCATATAATTTTCACTTCTTTCATTTAAATAGTCGTTGTTTTCCCTTTGATGGCATGTCAAGGGAAGAGAATGCCCTTTACTACTTATCTCAGACATCTGCTGCTGAGGATCTTTCTGTTAATTATCCTGACATATCTAACCTGTGAGTTTTTTGCTTTTTGTCTTTTTTAAGACAAGCTGGAGACTAAGATTTGAAAGAAAAAAAGAAACTACATTTAAATCATTCCATAATTGAATGATATACCTAAGTCATTTTCCAATTATTAACTTGGTCCATTTTCATACATTTATAGCCCTTTTCACAATTTGAGGTCTAAATATTCAGAACATGATTTACAAGCTATTGAAAGATAAGTACAATATATCAAATTATGAATATTCTTTTTGTGTTTGAGGCTAGTGTGTGTGTGTGTGTGTGTGTGTGTGTGTTGCGTTTTGTTTTGGCATAGTTAGTATCTTATACTCTTAATAAGATCTTGCATCATTATTGTTAAGGAGGTTCTTGCCTGGAGGAAAAGAGAAGATTTATTCCTATGAGATTTGCTAAGATATCGTGTGGATTGTAGATGGCATAGTTTTACATTTATTGAAATTGTCTTTCCCCTTGGGTCTTAAGAAAATGTGCCTAAAGCTATTATTGCATCTATCGACTCTGTGGGATTTCATGGACGTGGCTCTTTGTCCCAAGCGGTTCAAAAATGACCTTTATGAGCCAAAGTTCAAGCTGAGTGAAGGTTCTGAGATGGAGATTAGAGACCTGTCAGTTGCCTGAAAGGATAAAAGTGTAAAATCATATGTGACGCGCAGTTCAGTCACATCAAACACTAAGAAATGTTTACTGAATGAACGACACCATCCCTAATCACACTTTTCCCTTAAGTATTCACATTATCATGGGCCCCAAATACCGAGAGAGGTTGCAAAAGAAGAGCTCCTAATAAGTACGCACCAATTACAGCAGGCATGTGCTTGCACCTTAATTTCTTACAGCAATTATTTTTACTGTTCAAATGAATTTGACTTGTTATTAGAAAAGCTTCATCCCATTCCTCCACTTCTAATTAACTTTTCAATATTAAGAGAGAAAATTTTGAGACATCATAGACCTTTGTTAAATATGATGCAAAAAGCAAAGGCAAAATGCATGTTTACAAAAGCAAGATGTAGATATTTTCTTAACTGTGGTGCTTTTAAAGAATCAGGTCGCTTTTTGTATGGTTCTATAACGTCTAATTCATAGCAGTAGAAAAAAGAGCTTGAGTGACAAATGCAAAGTAGGCAACTGTCAACATGCAGCTTACAATTTTTGGAAGTCAGGTACTACTCTGCTTCTGCATACACCATTCACAATCAAAATGAATTAAACTGGAGTAAACACCCTCAGTAGAACACATCTCTCACCCTTCCACTAGCCCCTGCATTGCTGCCACAGCCTTTTAATTTGCCATAACTTGGTTGTATACTTCTATTTGCAGAACTGCTGAGCACATATTGCATGCCTTATTGATGCATAATTTGGAAAAAATTAACACTTATCCTCCTGTTATAATTTACATAATGCAATATTATATGTATCTGATGATTTGAGACTTATTTTATTAGAAAAAGAAGAATAAATTTAGTAATAACTATTTGGGCTAATAATCTACTGAAAAGACAATAATAAGAAGGAAATGCTGAACACATGAGAAAAACCCTATAATTTAAACAGCTGCATATTTTTATTAGATACTAAAAACTAGTTTTACTGTATTATACATTATGTTTGGAGGTCCAAATATTTTAATGCAATGTTCTTCCTATGAAAGGGCTGTCAGACTATAATTGGATTTAGTATCGCCTTAAAGAAAATGTGTTTCCTTTAACATTTATCTTTACACAGATTTCTACCTTATTATTAGTTCTTTTTTTTAATGCTTACACAGAGAACCGATTTCCCTAAGTTATAATTTAAATAACTCTTGGTCTTCACTAATTCCAAATTGTGTAACATCATAAAATAATCTAATTAAAAAAGCAAAGGATTCTACTTTACATAATATATTTAACAACCAACAACTAAAAACTCCTGTGATTTTTTTTTTATCTGTAAGGGAATTATATAGACAAGAGCTTAAAGTTGATCTCTCTCTATTTTATATTTTTACAGATAGAGACTTGGAAGAATAATGCTTCAAATTTCTAAAACTAAAATATCAATCTCTAGTATCTCAAAATGGTTCTACTTTTTAATTGAAGAAAGACTGTTTAAAATTGTCCTTTGTTATCCAAAACTAAATCATGAATACCATTTAGATGATCTACAGACAGTCCCTGACTTAATGATGGTTTGATTTAGGATTTTTTGACTCTATGATGTTGCAAAAGTGATATGCATTCAGTAGGATCCCTACTTTGAATTTTCATCTTTTCCTGGGCTAGCAATATGCAGTACAACACTCTCTGAAGATGCTGGGCCGCAGTAGAAAGGTGAAGCTCCCAGCCAGCCATGTCATCATGAGAGTAAACAAGCAATAGTTTACACGCATTGTGTGCCACATTCTTGGGTTACCGTTTTTTGTGATTTTGCATCTCATCATGTCTACAAAATGCCCATTTTACCTTATAATATTTTTACCTTGCAATGCATTTATTGGGATGTAACCCCTCCTAAATCACAGAGCATTTTTATAGAATAGAATGTCTAAGCTATTTGGAGTATCCTTGCTTTTCCCATTAAACCGTAATTTGTGACTTATATGACCCTCTCTCTTTCAAGAGGGTCATGGATTTTAATTAATATGGACTTTCCATCTAATAGTTAAGAGAATTATTATCAAAAAGAAACTTTAAAAATATCATAAATGTTTATAGAATTATTTCTGCTTTACCAAATTGTAAGTTTACAAATTGAGGAAAGTTAATACAAGACCTTACAGCCTAAATATCGGAGAAAATTCCCCTCCTAACTCTAGCAGGGAGAGGGGAAAAGTAACCATTTTGAAATACGTTCAGAACTTCCTATTCTTCTTAACAAAGCTTACACTCAAGAGAAACTATTTTACCAGAGCCTAACCAACTGGAGTCTTTTTACCAAAGACTAGATGATCTGATGTATTAGTCAGGGTTCTCCAGGGGATTTATTAGAGTAATTGCTTCACACAATTATGGAGGCCAAGAAGTCCCACAATATGCTGTCTGCAAGCTGCACCATCAAAGAAACTGGTTGTATAATTCAGTTTGAGTCCAAAGGCCTGAGAAGCAGACTTGTAACTCTGAGAACCTGGGGAAGATGGGCTGCTGGTGTAAGTTCCGAAGTCCAAAGGCCTGGCAGTCTGGGGCTCTGATGTCCAAGAGCAGGAGAAGGTAGCTATCCCAGCTCTAGGAGAGAGAAAATTTGCCCTTCCTCTGCCTTTTTGTTCTATTTGAGCTCTCAAGGGATTGGATGGCCATTCACATTGGTGAGAGTGGATCTTCTCTACTCATCTACTGAATCAAATGCTAATCTCTTCCAGAAACACCCTCACAGACACACCCAGAAATAACCTTTTACTAGCTATCTAGGAATCCCTCAATCTAGTCAAGTTGACACTGAAAATTAGCACCCTGGAGGAAAAGGAAATACCCAATTGTAGCTCCTTCTAGCCTTCAATGTGAAGCAAATGAAATACCCATCTTAGGTACTGGGTAAAAACTAAGACTGAGATCTAATCAGAGAATTATAGACTGTTTCCCTCCCCCCGCCATGCCTTACCACATTAATAAAACTCCTGTAGAATCGTAAATGATTAAAGTTAAAAGAACTATAAGCCTCAATCTCTAGTTAAGGAGTCTCTAGGGAAACCCAAGGACAACAAAAGAGACAAAACAAGGACATCAGAGGAAATTTTAGCCTATGACACCATGATGACAGCAAATAGAAAACAGAGTCTAAATTTTAACCAGATCACCATCGACCTCACACTAAAGGCCTAACTACCTCAGTTCCTTTTTCCTGATACACCATGCCCAACTTTCAACAGAAAATTACAAGGCATGCTAAAGGGCATCTCTGCCTATCTCTGCCCTCAGTGAATACACTTGCTTCAATTAGCCATTCTTGATTTGAGTAAAGGGCTCCATGCCAGGTGTATTTTTTCTTGCATTGTTTCCTTCTTAATGAACCATGCTGATACTCATCATTCTGACTTTCAAGCAACTCTCAAACCCTCCCATTTATATGGAAAAATGCAGTGTTTTTGTCTCTGAGATCTTTCCCTTTCCACCTTAGCTCTCTTTGCATTTATATTTTTCGAAAGTGTTTATAGTGCTAAATTTTTGCTTAGAGCCCCTAATAATGAAATTACAGTTCTCTGGGAATAGTCAAACAGCCTTTTTCTATTGATGTTGTCTTATCTAGTGCTTCAACGACAAGCAGTTACCACTGAAGACAGACAGAACATGAATCACTCACCACATGTCTCTTACTCAGGGGTCTCAGGTGCACACTTGTTTAACTTGGTACACCTCAAAAACTGTATGCATTTCTGCTGTCACCTAAATGACCTTTTTTTTTTAATTTTTCATCTGCGTGTGTTTTTAAAGTGCTTTTCAAACATTTACTGCCAAACCTCCCAACAGCCAATAAAACAGGTCAAGGTTATTCGCCTCATTTTACAGATGAGGTTAAGAGGGTTCCCAGAGGTTATGGGTGAGTTAGTGGGAAGGGAGCTAGCAATTGACACTTTCTTGGACCTGCAATTTTATGCATAGTTTCCAGGACTACAGAAAGAACATCATTTCCTGCTTTGTGAATGGAAAAAAAAAATGACTAAGGGTAAAACTGACTGAATATGAACCTTTTCCTGAACATTTTTTTTATAATGATACTTCCAGTATTGAATTTCTAAGTCTTATCTTTATAATGTTCTACTGTCCTGCAAAATACCAATCTATCTTCCTATTTGTTATGAATTTATCTACCTACCTACCTCCCTCACTTATTCTCTCTCTCTCATATATAGATTTCAATTACTTTTAAATTACATAGTATTTTGTCAGTATAATCAACACATTCCTGAAAACAGTTTATAGAAAAATTCTTTCCAGATATTAAGTTGTAGCATAAATAAAGAAAACTAGTAGTCCTAATCTACTATAAATTTTTACTGAAATGCATATAAAGGAGAGGGAGAGATGATGGAAAAAAATCATTCAGCTTTTCCCATCCTTCTGCAGGTGGCAATTTCAAAAGGGATCTCTAACCACTTTTTCTACCCCAATTCAAGGTCATAGAGGAGACCTGCCTTATAAGGAGTGAGATGACCATATGACAATGCACAAGTAGGCTCAAGTTGGATATTGCTTGTTACTGGGACTTTCCTTTTTTCTTTTTTGCTTAACAAATAGTTATGTTTCATTTAGTTCTATGTCTATTTAGAGATACTTGGCTGAATGTGGTTAATTCTAAGCATTGTAGGTTCAATGGAAGATCATAAACATGGAGCAAAAAGTAATCCAACACTCTTACTCACTGTTGTATCAGATAACCACAGTAATAATAAACATTTAAAGTCCCAGCCTGATATTCAATCCTACAAATGTGTTGAGTGTGAGGTAATACTGTCATAATCTGCTGAAAAAACTCTAAAAAACCCAAATGTATAATGGTAGGTTGATTATGTTTCTATGTAAAATAAAATAAACGTGTGTGTGATAGGGAAATGAAGAAGACATTGATATGTACCTGAAAATAAAACTTATGTAAATAATTTTTTAGTTAATACCACATGTGAAGCAATGGGAAAGTATATATCTTAAATGAACAAAATTAAAGTGAGTTTTATTAGCTCTGAAATATATAATATCAAGCAAATAACATATCAATAATTTATTTGCTAAGTTTTTGTGTAAATGGATTTGTATAATTAGTATAATATTGTGAGAGCATTTTGAAAGGAACATAATCATCATAGACACTACTGTATATTAATACTTATAATCTTATATTTGTGCTGAATAACTAAAAATGTGAGTAAGTAGGTTTAATTCATCAGTATGTCTCCATCAAAACATTACAATGTTTATTTAAATATTACATTTAGTATTTGTCCTTAAATTATATTACAGGAAAGTAGTTTCTTAACTTCTAACTTTTTCATAAAAACTCAAATTTTGTTAAGATATGTACTTAAAGGAAACTTTCTGAAGATTTTTAAACTTGTAATTCAACAACAGTTGGAAGGTTTGCTTTGGGCTTAATCTAGGCCAGCATAAGCCATGGTAACTCTTTCTTCAGATGTTTTCAGCTCTTATAAAATGACTTTTTCCTCCCTCAGAAGTCTCAGTGCTTATACGGAGCCCTTTTCTATTTATACTATGATGGAAGCAATTAATTTTACCTAGGTTCTCTCACCTCCATGAATCCTCTCAGTTTATTCATTATAATTTTTGTAGAGGCATAAAATATTGATGAATTAATACCAATAGTTTGTTTCCTTGATAGCATGAATTTGGAAAGATTATGTTTAAAATTTAAGTATTGTATAAATGAGCGTCCTTCATACTATGTTATTGTCTTTTATAACATTAGTTGTACTCATGCCATATTTGTTTTCTGATTTTCCTAGATTTTGGTGTTTTTCTTTAAAGTCTATGCCACCCCTTTACATGAAATCTGTGTTTTCACAATGTATTAAAATATAGATATTTTAATAGATCTTTCTTCAAGTTATTGCCAAGAAAAATGGTTATCATTTACAATAGAACAAAAGTTATGCTCTACTAAAAATAAGGCTTTGTTTTCTTCTGAGTTGTTGGAACCAAGAACTAAAAACATTGTAAATCGTGAGTTATCAGGGCACATTCTTGAAAGACCAGGCAGTGAGTGACTCAACTCTGACAAATCTGGGAATGGGTGGTAATATATAGACAGGATTTTCAAGACACTGGACTGGCATAGAAACCCACTGGTCTATGGATATCAGTGCATTCAGTTGAAGATTCAGCATTCCATAAGAAAACTGTCAATGAGACAGACAAAATAATAAGCCATCAACAAGAAGGTACTACATAGAGAGGCAAAATAAAAAGGTAGTAGGAATCCTGTGCAAAAAAGACCAGAGCTAAGGTTCAAAATCCAGGGATGGAAGCAAGATTTCAAGAACTGAACCAGGAGAAGCAGACTGGAGCAACTTTTGGTAGGGTAGCTATCACCACATAGGAAGCAAGTTCTTTGGGGCACATACCTGGTCAGGACCAAAATCCTCCTATTTTTGTGAGAAATATTGTGTGTTAAATACGGTCATGAATATGGCATGTTAAATGTGGTCACAAATATTTTGCAGCTCTTCTTAATGAGGTGGCCTTCATTTCCCTGCCACTTGAGTCTGGGTTGGTCTTGTGAACTGCATCCTAGTAAGCCACCACAATGAAGACATTGTATAAATTCCAAAGGCTCAACCTCAAGAGGTCTTGAAGTTTTTGCTTTCTTTTTCTTGGGAATTGCCCTGAAACTTCCATGAAGGAGGTCAGTTTAGCCTACTGGAGGACAAAAGGCCATATGAAGAAGATCTGGGGCATCCCAGATTTATAGCACCAACTGCTGAACATGAGTGATATAGTCTGGCTGTGTCCCCACCCAAATCTCACCTTGAATTGTAATAATCCCCACATGTCAAGGGTGGGGCCAGGTGGAGATAATTGAATCATGGGGGTGGTTTACCCCATACTGTTCTCGTGGTAGTGAATAAATCTCATGAGATCTGATTGTTTTATAAATGGGAGCTCCCCTGAACAAGCTCTCTTGCCTAACACCATATAAGACGTGACTTTGCTCTTCCTTGCCTTCTGCCATAATTGTGAGGCCTCCCAAGCCATGTGGAACTGTGAGTCAATTAAATCTCTTTCCATTATAAATTACCAGTCTCTGATATGCTTTTATTGGCAGGATGAGAAGGGACTAATACAATGAGTGAGGCCATCTTGAACCTTCTCATGCAACCAAACTGCAGCTAAATGCAGTCACATGAGTGAGCACAAAAGAAACTACCCAGCAACCCACAGAATCCAAAGAAATAATAAATTCTAATTACTTAAGCTGCTAAGTTTTGGTACAGTGTATTAGGCAGCCATATTTAACTGAGAGGTAAATTTGTACTGGAAGTAGGAGACTGTCTTATAGAACTTTAAATATGTAGCATTGGCTTTGGAACTGAGCAGCTGGTGTTAGGTAGCAAGACGGAAAGGGACTTTCAGAGGCTGGAGAATGAGTGACCTGTGGTATATAGCACAGAACAATTGCAAAACTGTCACCTGCAGTAATTTGAAAGATGGGAAATATATGCAATAAACTTGTGGCTTATTCTTCATTTTACAGTTAGGACATCTTTACACAGAATATTGAAAGTGCCAAGCAGCTTGTCTTAGTTGAATATGATAAGGTACAAGAAAAGAGAGATGAGCTGAAGAAAGAGTTGTTTAGTCTGCAAGAATAATTAGAGAAAGATATACAAGGCCAGGGTTTGCTGAGCTAAAATACAAAACAGACTCTCAGTCCCAGTCTCTTCAGTTAGCAAAAATTCTCAAAGTAAAATACTTCTTGGGACCAAACATGAAATCAAGGGTTTGTCGAGAGCTGAGTTCAGCCGGATAGAGCTGAGCTCAGGGTAGCCAATTAAGACAACAAGCCAAAATTAAAGTAATAATCAAGCCTTTAATTACTTTCTGTGATAGTAACAAGAGGCTAAATAAATAGGTAAAAGTACTGGGTTCTCCATTGTTGCATTTAATGTAAAATACCTGTAGAGAGAGCCTCCCAAAAAAGGCACCTGCATTTTACGGGCCTGGGTTGGGTAGGGGAGTAAAGCAGACGACGAAAAACTAGGGGTAGAAAAGTACTGAGTGAGAGTGGGGAAAATTGTCTTCAAGGTACCACCCTCCTTCTAAAAGTAGGTCTCAGTAGAGATGCCTGAGGAAGACCTTAGCTGAAGGCCCCTAATAAAGAGGCCTCCAAATGGAGGCACATGAGCTATGAATACAGCTATTCTAATGGGATTTGTGCCCTTATAAAAGAGGCTTGAGGGAGCCTGTTGCCCCCTTTTTTCTTTTACCATGTGAGGATACATAGTAGGTGCCATGTATGATAAATAGTCCCTCATCAGAGAAGGAATCTTCTTATGCCTTGATCTGGGACTTCCCAACCTCCAGAAGTGTGATCACTAAATTCCTGTTATTTATAAATTACCAGTTTAAGGTATTTTGTTATAGCAACCCAAAGACACTAAGATAGAAATCAAGTAGATGCGCCTTAATTTTCACCTTGTTTTCCAATTTACTGGTTTATATATTTTAAGTATAATTGCATAAATTTTGTTAAACTCTTTTAAATCTTTTTGAAATAAGGCAGAGAAAAAACAACACATAAATAAGCAAATACATACCTCACCCAGGTGCAGAAATAATTTGTCAGATTAAAAGAAAAAATAAAATGAAGAGACAACTTGAATTAAAAAGCAGGGGAAATAAAGTGAAAAGAAAATATTGGTAGGGTCATAAGATAGAGCAGCCAGATATGAGACCTCTAAAAAAATTCCTATCATAAAAACTTGCTACTGGTAGGCTGAAAATCTGTCCTAAGATTTTTTTTAACAGTCGGTGGGAAAATAGAAACCTGGTCAGTTACACAATTTACAAGGTATATAAGATAAAACCAGAACAGTTGTTAGGACAACAAAATTATTGCTGTTACTAATATCCGACAGAAATATCTCCCCATGGTCCTCATAAAACCAGCACCATGTAATATACTGGCTTACATCTTCAACCACACTCTTAGAGTAGACACATGACAAGTCTCACAATATTGTTGGCATCACTCTAAAACAACAGTTTAGTAAAGGCAGTCCCATAGGGGTCAATACAATACCATCCAGGTATGCAGCTGTCTTCTGATTTGTCCAAATCCAAGGGTAGATTTTAAAGTGTCTGGAATAATGGATGGATTTCATCTTTCAAGCAATCTTTTCTATATATTGTTTCTTTCTGCAGATCTTTTGATAGATATTGGAAAGCAAAGAGTTTGAAATTACACTCTTTGGCAAACACTCAGAATGTAGATTATCTATAGTTTTAGTTAAATATGGACTTACATATTTTAACTGACAGTTGACCTGGTAGAGGATTTTCCATCTCTTACAAAAAATAAATGAGGAGCCAGAGAAGAAACTATACCTGAATAAAAGATTAACTGTTGGAGAGCTCATGTGCTGGTCCAAAATTCTCAGAAAGTCTGTCCAATACATATGACAACTGAGGCCATGAACTTCTAGTCTGGAAACATGTTCTAGCTCATGTAATGATGCTTCACTTGAAGGTAAAACAATCTTAATAAAACAATCAGTCAGGGAATGATAAATTTTGAGCTCTTCCAATAAATATTTTTTTAATTTTTGCTCAATGCAAATTCCAGTAAGAATAATAGGTTTTAGTTTTGCAAGGAAACTTAAAAGATCACTTAATCCAATATGGTATTTAGATAATGAATTTGCATCCAAAAGATGTAAAATCACTTTCATGTGACTATGTATCCAAAGAGTAACAAAGCTGAAGGGAAAACCCAGGCCTTTCTCCACATTATTCATTGACCGTTCCTCACTTTGGACAAATGGTTGAATGGCCCCAAGGATCCCAAGGAAACACTGTGTTAAGTTCCTCTTAGTCTCCTCCATTCCATTACCATAAAAATTAGACTTAAAGGAAAGAACTTTAGTATCTCAATTAATTTGCTCCTCTTTATTTTCAAGGCTGGTGTAATATCACATTAAAGTTAATGTGATTTTCGTGGCTTATCCTCTCATTACCTGGAGTAAACAGATCATTGTAATCACAATATTGCTATGAAGAAATTTGATCATTTGATAAAATGCTTCATTTGGTTAACAGAAGAGGAAAAAAAAATCCCCTGACCCTCAGCCAGCTACATATTATTACAATGACATACCAAGTCGAGATGCGCAAGAGGAGAAATTATTTGATTAGCTGCTGTACTGTGAGTACTTAAACCTGTGGGAGCTGCCACGTTCAAGGCACTGCGGCTGGAGCTATAAGTCTTTCTAAAGTCCTCTGGGCCACTCAGTAACTAGAGCTACCATTCTGCCATCACTGTCACTTCACATATTCAGTCTCTAAAGCTCTGTTTGTTGTTTCATTCTGCTCTATGTCTCCCCTAGGACTACCTTCATTTTAATATAAATAGAGCGTTTCATCATGCAATGGCAAAGGATCATGGAAGGTACAACTCTCAATATTACTGGACACAATGCATACAGATGTATTCCAAAAGAGGTCCAAAAAAGCAAAAAGAACAAGACAAATTTATAAAAGGGTATCAATATTATTTATCTAAATATAATGCAAAGCATGTTTTTGTAACAGCTAAGAGTGAAAATGGAAGATAAGGCTGTAAGAATTTTGTGTCTGTGGCTATTTCCAGAATAAAAGGAAGCAACTATGTAACAGACACTATAGCTCTTACTCATGTTTTTAAAAATCAAATTACCTTCATTGCCTAACTGCAATGAGGTATCCCTTTGAGATCCCTAGTAATTGTTTAATACACTTGTATATCTTTGAATTTAGGAAACATGAAAATATTTTCTGAGAGATGTTTTGGGACATACAAAGGGTAATACTGGGGTTGCCTTGTCCATAGTGACCTTGGACGTGGAGGTAGGGGAAATAATAAATTAAGGTAAGCAGAGCAGTGTTTTTTCTTTCTAGGCTCCTTTAACTTCTGACAGTCTCCTGGGCAGTGTCCTTCTCATTATTATTCCCTCTCTGCCTCCTAGAGGCCTGGCCCTTTCCCGGTTACCATATCTAGCAATCACCAGAGGGATGCTGCCCATCACCATCTAGAAGAGGGACCTGTTACTGCCTCTGCCCTCCCCACTGCTTCTGCCTCTCTGTCTCACTGTTCTGGAAGAAGACGGTTTCTTTGATATCGATTGAAATATGTATTAGACTCCCTCAACACAAACTCACTGCTTTATTTTTGTTTATAGGATCCCTTCCTCCCCCCAAAAAAACTCCACAAAAACCTCTAGGTTTTACAGAGCTAAGGTCTAGCAGAAGATTGAAGAAAACACTTGGAAAGACAAGACTATCATACTTTAAAGCTTTCCTTTACAAAAATCTTGAATCAGTAACTCAAAAGAGGCATCTGTCTTCTACCTTAGAGGCACCCTGGCATCTACCTAAAGCCTTCTTCTTTCTTTACCCAAAATTTGGGTGCTCTATTTTGTTTTCTGGTTAGATAATATCAAAATATAAGTCCCAACGTGGTCCTCTCCATATCATCCAATTGGAGTGCTAGTGTTGTGTCATTATGACTAATGGTTTCAAATGTTGACGTATCTCTTAGGCTTCTTTTAGAGGTTTGCTACAAATACAAGCTGGCTTTCAAACTATGAGGCTTTTTTTTCTTTTTACTATTTAGTATTTCTATTGTCCAAAGCACTTATAATGCAGTTATATAATTCCCATTCTCCAACACATATATATACACACAGTTTAAATCATTTATGAGTCATTGTTTTTTAAATCATGCTTTTCTTCTAGTTTTGAAAATTAAACATTTATCTCTTTTCCTTCTGTGATGACACTTTAAATCAATGAAAAAAAGTAAAATGTATCATATAGTCATATTTTCTTATATTGTACTTTAAGTTAGTCAGTGGAAAAGGCTAAGGAGAAAGTAAAATGCAGTTTGGAATTTAGTTTTTACTTTGTTTTGTTTAAATAGATACTAAAAAATTCCAAAGAGGTAGAGAAAAAGACCAAGGAGATTATCATTTATTGAATTATTATTGATTATTATTTACTGAATGCCCAAACAATTCCAAAATTATTTCATTTATCATTACCTGAAAGTTACAGTAGGTAGCTGGTCAGGCATGAGCAGGGCAGGAGAGAGCTCCCATTATACACACACCAGGAGTATTGGGCGACCAGGTGATGGTCTGGTGATTGTTAACTATCTCTCTGAAGTAACAATTGGCCACAGCCAGTGCCAGAGACAAACATGCTCCTAATAGATAGATAGAAAACACCTGAAACTGATCAGCAGCTTCCCAATAAGTTTTCAGGAGTGGGGAGAAGGAACACAAGACCCCGGAAGTACGCCAACATATAAAACCCCAAGTCAAGAGGCCAAGCCATGAAGTTGGTCTCTCAAGGCACCTGCTTGGCCCACTCCCAAGTGTACTTTCCTTCCTTTGATTACTGCTGTAATGCTTTTTAATAAATTTTCATTCCTGCTTTAAAATGTGCCTCACTCTCTCCTTCTGCCTTATGCACCTCAGTTGAATTCTCTCTTTAGAGGAGGCAAGAATTGAGGTTGCTGCAGATCCATATGGAAAACTACCACCAGTAACCTAAATACTTTTAAAGAAACTTTGATTGTGTTATGCTAGCCACGGGCCACATAACCAATAATTGGGAAAGCCAGAATTCACACCCAGGTTCTACCATTGTATAACATCTGCTTTTTCTACTATACTGCAATTACTCCCACAAGAATGAGTCATAACTCTCCTTAAACAATTTTTTAAATGGAACAAGTTACTTGAGTAAAGCCCAGCATAGACTATTATCAACTGTTTACTCCATATTATATATTGTATAAGCTACCATTTCCTTCTCATCAAGAATAGATGCCTTTTACTTCAACCCCTTTTGAGGTTTCTGCTCTAAAACAGTTATCTTCTAACATAATTTATAGCATTCTCATAAGGATTTTAATAGAAATCATCTGTGCTATATTGAAGGCTGGGCGCAGTGGCTCACACCTGTTATCCCAGCACATTGGGAGGCCAAAGCTGGCGGATCACTTGAGGCCAGGAGTTCGAAACCAGGCTGGCCAACCTGGTGAAACCCCATCTGTACTAAAAACTAAAAATACAAAAATGAGCTGGACATGGTGGCATGCACTTGTAATTCCAGGCTGAGGCAGGAGAATCGCTTGAACCTGGGAGGCGGAGGTTGCAGTGATCATTCCACTGCACTCCAGCTTGGGTGACAGAGTGAGACTCCTTATAAAAAAAAAAAAAAGAAAAAAAATCATCTGTGCTGTATTGAAAAACAAAGCCATGGTATTTCCAGCCCTTTTTATCAAGAGGTAGAATCTATTTCCCCAGTCCTTCAATCTGGCTGACTTTCTGACTTGTCCTGACCAATACAATGTGGCACAACTGAGAAGTCTCTGAGGCCTTTACCTCAGAGGTCTTGAATTTTGAGACCACATGAAAAAAAGAAACCCAGCTAAAAGGAAGTGTCAAGGTCCCAGATATGTAGCAAGGTCATTTTAGATACTTCAGCCACAGTTGAGCTGTCAAATGATTGCTGCCACATGATTGCAGGCAAGATCAACAGAAGAACTGTCCAGCTGAGCCCTACTAACCCATAGAATTATGGGAAATAATAAATCATTGTTATTTTAAATCACTAGTTTTTACAGTGGCTTGTTATGCAGCAAAAATTTACCAATGAAATATTTGTAAATAATAGGACTTTGGTATATACTAGGAATTCAATATATATTAGTTCTGATCTTTTAAAAAAAAATTTTGTTGCTAAATAATAAGTGGTTACTACTTATTGATTTAAAGCAACATAAATGTTTCTTCAATGTGTAGAATTCCATCAAGAGGACTGAGTAAATATAGCTGGCATCTAAATAAAGGATTTTAACAGTAAGCCATTATTTATGATGTAAATGTGATTTTATAATGTGAACATGTGTAATATACAATTTATAATAAAAGAGAGACCTAGTTAAAACAAAAGCAATAGGATAAAACAGTCGAAGCTTTTAGAGTTACAGCAATTTTGTTTGACAGATTCAAAGTTCATATGTAAAAATATGTGAATTGAGCCAATTAAAAAATAAAAAAAGATGAGATCTGTTATAACCAAAAGTAACCTATGGTAATTACTTTTTTGAAATGTGAAAATATATGAAGTCCATTTCTTAAGAACTACTCCTGAAGGTGTTTCCTCAAAATAAAAGGAGGAAGAAAACAAGCAAAGAAGGAAGAAAGGAAGAGGAAAAGACAGAAGGAAAGACAAGCAAAGAGGGTTTAGTTGCAAAATCTCATGCCATTCGAAAATGTTGTATTTTATATCTATCCTCTTTTTGGAAATTCATAACTTGGACAGTAAACACTGAGAAATATTTCACTAGGGCAATGTACTTAATTTCATTAAAGCCAATATTTTTCTAATTTAGTTTAGCGAAGAACTTATTTTTAACATTCTCTAGAATATATACTTTTGGGCAATATTTTTTAAACTGCAGATTATAAGCCATTAGTGATTTGTGAAATCAGTTTAATAGGACATGACTATCATTTAAAAAACACTAAATAAAATGAGTTGAAATAAAAAAGAATAGAACAGATCAGGACATAACACAAATGGAAAATATACATTTGTTTCATGAAATATTTCTTTCTGCTGTGAGTGTGTGTGTGTGTGTGTGTGTGTGTGTGTGTAATGGGTGGTAATATAAAAAGTACTATGAATAACAATACATTTTTTTATCTTTCTAATTTTTAAATAAAACTTTAAAATTATAAGTTGATCTGATGAATATATTTTTTCAAACAAAATAACATTGCCTTAGTATATATTAATAATGTATAAAACATATAGCTTATATAATTAAAGTTTTGAATTTATATTTTGAATTTATATTATTCTTTCAATAATGAAAATTAGCTGGTAATTTTAATTAAACTTTTCAATATCATATTACAACTTAATTCTTCAATCATTAACTTTGATTTAACAATGTGTGTTGAATGTTAAAAATGTAAAAATCATCTGAATCTATTTTACAAATTTTGAACTTTGTTTAAAGTGATTTTATTACCCTTACCAGTAAGTCTATTATTAGTCATTTATCACTTATTGCTTAGTTATTACTATTATTATGTACTATCTATCACATAGTATTTACTTAGGATAAGGCAAGTATTGTCCTAAGCAATTTACATGCATTATTTAATTTAACACTCAACAATCCTTTGTGGTTGAGACTATTAAATCACCATTTTACTGCTTGAGGAAACTGAGGCTGAGATCACTGCCTGAAAGAGGTGAAGGTGAGAGTCAATCCCAGATACTTGTCATTAAACCCTATCGTGGAGACTAAAATCTTTGAATGGGAATCAAGTAACATCATCATTTCAAAGGTTTCATTTTAATTAAGCAAAACTAATCCTTGAAACGATTATAAATGGAACTCAGACTTTTCTCAGTTTGATCCTATTGTTCAAACGGATCACTTTAAGTTGAATGTATTTTGAGGCTCCACAGAGAACTTCATGTTAGTCTATGGATTTATAGCAAGGGTCATGTTCATCAAGTCAGAAATGTTCCTGAACAACACCCACTCCCACCTCTAGTCCTACCCGTATTCTCTCACCTGTGCCCTTAGCACCACAAGGTCAGGGTGGATGAGATCATGAAGAGTTTGTGCAGGGAGCAAGCAAGCATTGTCAGAGAAAGTACATAAGGTGCCCTAAGATACGTTGCCAGCATAGAGAGGCAGAACAAAAGTGAAAACAAAGTAGTCTTTGAGAAGTAAAAAGGTCAAATGGAGATTAAATTTCCAAAGGGTATAATTGAAAATGTAACATAAAATGTGGCAAGAGTAAAGGAAATTTACGTTTAAAAAGAAGTACAAATAGCTATTAAACATATGAAAGGGATTCAACCTCACTGATAACAGAAGATATTTAGATTAAAGTTACTACACTAAGATACCACGTCTACCTATCAAGTTGGCAAAATTCCAAAAGTTGGAGAAACTTTCCTGGTGAGACTCTTAAGCATTGCTCATACATTTCTGGTGGAAGTATTACTTGGAAAAAAAAAATGTCTACAGAGATACAACTGGGAAATATTTATCAAAATAATAATTGAATTTAATTTTTGATTCAGTTATCTCAGTTCTGGAAATGTATTGACAAGTATACTTGCACAGGTGAAAAAGGGATGTATAAGTTATTCTTTAAAGCATTTTATCTTATAGTTAAAGATTGGAAACAACCTAACTGGCATCAATATAGAAGTTAAATAACAATTTTCCCTCTCTATAATGGAATACTTCTATTTTAAAAAGAAAAATCAGCCACTCTGTAAGCTATGAGATGGAAAAATCACTAGGACATATTGTTAAAGAAAATACTTCAAAGTGGAAGAAACACTAAGGAAGAAACTAATATTTTTCAAATAGACGTCACAGTACTCTACCAAGTGCAGCTTATTATTTTTTACAGAGTAGTTTTCTCCAGAAATGAACACAGAAGATGATATACTGATTAAACAACTGGATTTGCATGTGTCTTTTATTCTAAGAACTATGGGTATAAGGCATTTCAAGCCCTTGATAATTACTGATCTCTAATTATAGGGGTATATGCGTTAAGTATTTGACTAATAAATTTATTAGTTATACTTGTATGTTGTCAGTTCCTTCATGTTTCTGATGTGGCATAAATTGAACTGGCAGATGAGAATTTCTTATTCTTGTCACCAAGACCCTCCTATGTAAATTACCAGAGCAGTCTATAATTCATAATAATTTGAATATAAATCTGTTTCTGCCAGACTAGAAGTGAAATGATTAAGTTCGTTTTTATTTGAAGGATTTAGCAGTACTGAAGAAAGACTGACATCCTATCAAATTATTATTATTATTATTATTAGTATTATTATTATGGGTATGTGTATGTTTCAGAATTATTTCTGTTATTGTGGAAATAAAATAATAACTACCATTCCAAATTAGATTAAAGAGTTCCAGTTGCAAACCAAGTGACCAGCTTAATATCTTATGCTAGGGTTTCAAATTTCCATAATGATAGATATCTATTAACTTAAAGATAACAGATTTAAGGCAAATATAAGATGATGTCAATCTATTCTGCTGTAATATTTGCAGTATATAGTGAATGTGTCTTTGGAATTATAAAATATCTCTCCTTTAATCATTCTTCCTTACTTCACTTTACCTTGAAAAAATAAAATTAATATCTCCATCTGACTTAGAATTTTGTTTTGATACTAATTATAGTCTTGCTTATTTTATAATGATCCTACATATTGAACTCGGCAATCATGACATTTTTGCAGTGTTCTTCACTGAGTATAGTATTAATACGATACCTGACATTTTACAATTTTATATTAAAGCATTATACTTACATATTGATTATAAGTAACATCAAATTCCAATTAGGAACTTACAAAATGTAATTATGAAGCAATAATAATGAATATCATTGTCTTCAGAAATATTTTCTGGATACATTCAGAAAGTTTTCTTATGTGCAGATATAATGTGAGAACTCTTTTACAAGTTTAAACTTAGACATGAAGTCAAAAGAAGCCTATAAAAACATGAACAGTCTACTGTATTCATTTTCATCTTCTTTTGCATCATTTAAAGCTAATCCTTTGTGCAGAGTCTTTGTACAGGAAATTTAAGAGCTGTGATAAGCTCTATGATAAACATGACAGTTCCTAAATGTCCCACTATGTACGGTGTTACCTGGTGAAATAATGTGGCTTTCTGATTATTCAGATCTAGTAACATTTTATAGCAAAATTACTTTCATCAGGTTTATTACAGTTTATATGACCCTAGTTTTTTTATAGTTAGGTGAGCAGTTTTTATTTGGAATAGTGCCTGGTTCAGAGTTTGTAGTAAAAAAATGTTAACTAATAGTAATATTTTTATGTCAAAATAGGATTTTTGAGTTCAGTAGGCAATACAATGAAGGAACCAAGTCAAGAAGGGCTGGAACTAAGAAGCTGGAAAGTAAGTGCACTCACTATTGGGAATCATGTGTTTGAGAAAAACTCAGCAACTTGTAAGGAGTGAAAGTCAGAAACTGAAGATAGATATGATGTTAAGTGACAGCTGGCAGGGACCAGGAGGGTCCTGACATGGTAACAGGTGCTACAGTAGTGTGGTGGCAAAGAAAGCCTAGAAATAGAAAACTTGAAGAAACTACACTTTATTTGATCCATTCAATAAACATTATCTAAGCAGCCACTCTATCATAAGAAATATAGGACATAAACTATCCCTAATCTTTGGAGGGTGAGGTTGTTGCTAGAAAATTATATGAGTAAAACCACAATGATGATACTATATAAACTGTCCAGGAACAGGGCTAAAGAAGGCAAACAGAAGGTTAATATTAGAGAGCTATGGGAATATATGCACCCACTGTTTTGGGTTAGAGAGTATCCCAGCTCCAGAGAGGAGCTGCAAGGACAGGGAACTATCCCAAAAGAACTATATAATTAGCCAGGTTCAAGACAGCTAATAAAACATGGGAGGACAAGATAGCAAGCCAAGTGAAACAAATGGATTTAAGATGAGGTCTGGTTACAGGAATGAAAAAGAAACCCATTTACTAAAACGAAGAATGAGGATGGATAAGTAACATGGTTGACTTCCTACTCTTCTTTTTCAGAAGCTAAAACGGAGCCATATACAATTCCTCCTGTTAGAGGCAACTAGGACTCAAAATCTTATGATATTGTTTTGCAAAGGGGGGAAAAATATAGCTGGCTCAAGAGAAGAATACCTGGCAGGACATATTTACTATATTTACTAAAAATATGCTGGCAAATAAATAGATATTCCCATGTCCAGGAGTTAAATGTGATTTGTGACAGTGCCCTGTGGCACAGTGCCATTCAACATCAGTATTTAGACAATATTAGTAATGTAAACAAATATGTTCAAATTTGTCAATGACATGAAGACAGAGAAATATCTGTACAGCAGCATCAGATCTAAAAAGATCCTCACCAACAAGATCAATGCACTTGATCTGGTGAAAAGATATTATTAAACACTGAAAAGGTGAGGTTAAAAAAAAGTGTTTAGTTTGTAAAGGTGTTTCCTACCTTTGAAAAATAAGCTGCCCAAGCATGATATGATGCAATCTTTGTTACAACATTCTAATTATAAAATAATTTAAAAATTTGCCTTCAACTTATTGCACTCATATTTTAATGGTGAATTGGGAGATATTTTTGGTTTTGTGTTATTGCTAAAGATTGAAGACTGCTTATTACTTATTGGTCTTCTCAGGAATACCTGCATGAGGCCAGCCATAATGCCTAATTTTGATGTACAGAGACTTAATGAACATACTTCCAGTAAAATATAAGCAAAAACATAAGTGTTCATGTGTTTTTGTTTTTCTTGAAATTTATTTGGATAGTTCATGTATCAACCTGGCTTTCATTCCCTCTCCTTTAAAACCATAATATTTATTTTTGTTGAAATAATTTTTTTGCTTGGTATAAAAATATACTTGAGTAAGTATTAATACAAACTATGGGTTCAGTTTTAATGAAATCTTAAGGCAAAAAAAAATCTTAAATCCACATGACTCACTTCAAAAGCATAGGTCAAATATCACACTACTCAAGGAAATATTTTTCCTACCATACCTTCCTTTACTCCTTAAACATCTTGACCTTCCATTAAAATTGTGCTATTAGATGTTACCTAAACAAATAACTTTTGTCTAGCCTCTACTTAGTCCTCTTTTCTTCTCTTACTTCTTCCCTCACTTCCTATCCCATCCCCATCTCCACAATTTTATCTCCATTATTGCTTCCTTTTGTTCTTCCTTCAGGATTTTAAGACTGCAGAGTTCTGGAGCCTGACTGCAGGGGTGAAATCCTAAATCCACCATGTGGTGGGTGTGTGACCTTGAAGAAGTTACTTAAACTCTCTCCGCCCTCAGTGTCTATATTGGTAAGTTGGTGATAATACCTTAAAAGTTGTTTTGAATATTTAGTGAGTAAAAATATTAAAAACATTTAAAATTATGTCTAAAGCATACCAAGTTCACAATGGATGTATTAATGTTATTATTGTTGTTATTTCACAGACATCTCCTTGGCTTTTCTGAGCACCTTGTTCTCCTCAAGATACCATAGACTCCCTACCCCATCTCAAACATACTGGGGTGTTTTTTACCTATCTACCACCGATCTTGCCACAGGTCATATTCATACGTATCTCGAGATTATCAAGAAACCAAGTAAGTATAATACCCCCACTGCCCCATCCCCCCCACACCCTGTCCTATAGGATTGTAAGGGGAGAAAGCATTCTCTACATCTGCCCTAAACAATAAACTTGCAAGGAAGTAGCTACAACTCACAGTTATGTATCTATTTGTGGCTCTGATTCTTTATATCACCTGTGTTAAAATATCACAATATTTCAGCTGTTAATTGAAGCACGCTGGTGTCTTGAGTTATTTTTATAGTCAACTTGAGATGACATATGATAGTTCAGATTAATGGAAGCTGTGAGTCAGAAATTCTGTCTCTAGTTATGGTTATAACTTTTAACATGTGCTAACATGTGATATCTGTAGATCATGTGACCTGTAGTTACTTCTAAAGTGGGTATTTGAAACATCAAACTTTTGTCAGTGTAGTAACACTTTATGCTAAATGAAAGCAACACTTTAGTCTCTCACAATTTTTTTTTCTCCTGGCACCACATGTCTTAATAAAAAGCAGTCATTCTAATGTTTTTCAGATGTCTTCAGCAAACCCAAGAGTATTTAACTAAAATAAGCAAATATCAGGTAAAATATATGTATCAACCTTTACAAGATTATTTGTAAAATGTTGATCATAAGTGAGAAAACAAAGAAAATTGATTTGTGGGAAGGAAAGTCCATCTACTTTTAAAGTTCTTCCAATATGTAGGGAATAGATTCCTTCAAAGACTAAGAAACTTTCAGAAAGCCAATGCACAGAAAGTGTGAACTCTCTAAGAAGGCGGCCTGGAGATCCTTTTAAGTGATGTGAGCAGAGAAGCTCTTAAAATGAGGCTAATTAGCTGTTTGATGTACTTGACAGAGAAAGATGTATGCAAGCAGAGAGAAAAGACTGCAAACATAGATATCCCTGATTGCATTATTGTCCAAAACTTAAATTAATTTCTTGAGGACTATCTTTTCCATAATTTAAAATGGTTTAAAAGATGTACAACTAACAGGTTCAAAGTGTTTCTTTAGCTAATCACTTGCACTGCAGGAGGCTGAAAATTACAGAGCACATTTTATACACTCCTGAAGCCTTCCAAGAATTACTTTTACAAGCTCTGGCTTTCATTCTTCCTGTGTTTGCGTAATGGCATCGAGAAATGTGTGACTTGACTTCACTAATATGTTGTTCAAAGTCCAAACAGCCACTACTGTGCTCTTCGGGGCACAGACAGTATAACTGTCTTTGGCATGAAAATGTTCTCTTGGCTCATGTGTTAATAGCGATAAAAATCTAACCCTGGTTATGGGCTCAATGAAGAAACAAGCTTTCTATAGTTTAAAATAAAAATGAGGACTTCAGTTAGGAGTACATATTTTTGTAAAATACAGTTCATAAAGAGAAAATTTTGAATACCAATGGTGACAACTTTCTAAACAAAAATTATAATGGTAGTTTGTATACATGGTAGCTAATCAAAACACAAATATTAATGTGTAAATAAATAGGAAGTTGTTTCCATTGATTTTAGTTATCCAAAAATAAATTATATTTTTTTCTAATTTTGCTTATTTTCTCTTAGTGAATTTTTTTTTCTTTTTTTGTGAAGTTTTATAAGAAAGTCATTACTTTAAAATCATTCTAGTATATTCAGGATAACAGCAAATGTAAGGGTCATTCATAGAAAAAGAAAAAAAATCCCTTAGAAACAATCAACTGAGATATATGAGGATAATCATCTGAAGGTCTTATTCTAATAGAAGCTGTAGTATCAGCTTAAAGAATTATTCAAATTTACTAAGTTTAGTTAAGTAGTCAAAATTTTTTATTAAAAAGGACTTTTAATAGAGATATCCAAGATTTTTGCCAAAGTCATGAATGGTATCAATTTTATGAGCTTGTGAATTTCTACACTGGTTTTATGTATGAGCATCCATGGGAAAATTTTCTCAGTCATTCAATAAATGTTTATTGGGGACTTAATAAGTATCCCCGTTATTACAGATACAGATAAAACTTCATTAGTGGAGCTCATATGTCAATTGGGTGGGAGGGATTAATAAACAATATAAATAAGTAACTTAAATATTGTGTTAGAAGGTGATATGTTCAGCAGAGGAAATAGAGCAAGGCACATCACGTGAGGGCATCAGATGGCCCATTGGTGTTCATCTGAAGGAGAATGGGAGATTTTGAGCAGAAAAGCAACAGGATCTGGCCTGCGTTTTAAGATTCCCTCTAGCTGCTGTGTTGAGATTATTCTACAGTGGAGCAAGGGTGGAAATAAGGATACCGCTTGGGAGGTTATTAGAGTGCTCACAGCAAGAGACCCTGGTGGCTTGGGCCACTGCACCATTGGAATGGGAGAGCGAAACAGAAACAAATGGTTACAATCCACAGAGGCTGTGTAAGAGCAGGCATACACGCTTTTCTTCTGTGCTTTTGATCTTTCTCTTTATCATATATTTCTGAACTGGGATCCATCAGTTATCCCAGACTATCAATCTCTCCCATTCTACTACCTCCTTTCTCAAAAAGGCTCAAGACTCTCTTATTTAAAAAAGAATAATTTTCCCTCAGCTACTGAAAATGTCAGAGAAGGGGGGATATTTAAATTGAGACTTAGAGGATGAGCATGACTTTAGCAGGCAGATAAAAAGAGGAGGAATCTATGTGAAGGCAACCACAGGGTATAGTACGTAAAGTAACCCAGGCTTGAAGAGGCAGACATTCAGAGAACTGTGAGTGGTTTCGGTCTAGTACTGCTGGAGTACCCTGGAGAGGGACAGGAGAAGTGGGCAGTTTGAGACCAGGCCACCATGTGCCATTCATAAATGCTGCTTTCAAGAGTTTGGGAAACACTGAACCTTTACACCATAGTATAGGGTGCCAGGGAACAGCTCAGAGTGATAATGAAGGAGAAGTCCGCTGCCCTGAGAACCTCACTTCTCATCAGAGCAGCAGAGGATGAGAACTGACCACATCCCGGCCTAGGATGTGCAATAACAGCAGCCTCTTCTTAGAGGGCATCGTGTATAATCAGAATCTTGTGAGGAGAAGAGGCCCTCCCAGCAGGGTCTACTCACTGAGAGGGAGAACTTACGTTTAGGGATGGGTCTGCCCAGAGCACACTAGGAGTGGCCCACTAGCCAGGGATGAGGATTCCCTCACAAAAATAACCCACTAATCCTTTTAAACACAGCAGCAAGCCAACAATATGGGTATTTCAAACATAGCTTTGGTGCCTAAATTTAAACTATAATTTTACAAAGAAGAGGGACTTGACTACTTTCAGGGGACAAGCTAATGACTGAATAAAGCAATTATCCCTAATAAAGTGGTATTTTTAGGGTACCCTAGGCCCTAACACAAGGGGATTTTTAAGGGGCCCCACTGAAGAAAGAAAGAAAGATAGTTAGATAAATAGATAGATAGATAGATAGATAGATAGATAGATAGATAGATAAGATATAAGAGAAGATATTGGGAAATTCTAAAAAGAGAGAGAATATAACTAGATTTGTCTTTGAGAAAGACACTTCTGGAAGAAGGGTGTAGGGTGGATTAGATAGCAAGAAGTCAGTTATACTGAGACCAACGAGGAGGCTATTACAACACTTTAGATAAAAGTGATGGAGACTTAAAAATGCAACTGGTCAACTCATGCACATACATCAGTATAGTGTAAATGTGTTGGTCTTAAGGAAGGAGACATTTGGAAATACATTTTGGAGAGGAAAACATAATGAGAAATCCTGGTAGCATTAAACCTCCTTAATAGTGAGTGGCTGAGTACATTAAAGTAGCAATTTATCTGATGGGCAATTGATATCTGGCAGGCTAGTGACAGCCTCGTTGCCAAGAGAGCACAGTTACAGTCTCAGCCCGTGACTTTAAAAACTTCACTGGGGGAAAAATTACAGTCAAACGAGCAGCACCGGGGCATGGCCTACGGCACAATATGCCGATAACTAAGTCCCAGGGAAAACTGATTTGTGGCTTCTGATCACATGCACTGAGAGCCTCTGCTATTGACTAGTTGTGGTTCATGGGGATGTAGATCTATCTTGGCTAACAAGAAAGCACTAGAGGTCTTCATTTAGCCACTGAGCCCTGTCTCCAGGGACTGTGTGCAGCTGTCTTTACCTTCCTACCAATCAACACATCAAAAGCTGCAGAATATATTTTCACTTTCAAAAAATGCAAACTGCAAGCGAGATAAAGTTGCCAAACTCGACTTGAAAAAGGGTGAATGATTACAGCACAGCTCCAGATATAAAGAATAAATCATGTGTGCCCAGCCAGAATTTTCTTATATGTGTCAACAAGAAAGATAACTGAGTTTGTATCCACAAGACATCCACACCATATTAATTTGACTAGAAAGGATTAAAACAATTTACACTGGATTTCTTACTTGAATAATTCTAATCAGCGCACTTCCTCAGGATTTCTCACTGAAGATAACTCATTATAATGAAATTATTAGAATATTCATCTTAGTAACTCTCAAATAATTACTCTGCATGGGTTTTTCACTCAATCCGTATACATAAGGCAAGAATACATTCTATTTTTCATTTAATTTCAGTATTTTTTTTCTATGGGAGTTTGGGACTCCATTTGAAATAAACTTTGAATCTTTAAATGCTTTCTCAAATTATCAGTCCTTTTGACATTGATTCTAGACCTCTCCTCCCAGTTGTTTTCCAGGAAGACTTACTCACAAAAGGTCGTTGCTGTTTCTTTGCTTTCAAAGATCATTTAGTTTCAGCACTCTTGATTTGGGATGTGTGCAGGTGCATGAAAAAGAGAGAAGGTTACTCTTTGGTAAGCTCTATTTAATTCTCTAAAATGAGTAAAAGGTCATGCTGGGGAGGTAGTCTCCTTATGCATTCTAAGTAAAAGCCAGTGCTTTAGCTTTAAATTCCAGGTGGCCCAGTAAGGATTGGAATGCGTGGTTTGGACTGCTTCCTTTTCAGTTACCTCTTAGGAGAGATGCCACTTTGATTTACTGGACTAACTGAAACTGGCTCCTTCAGGGCTGTTAGCAGGACAGGTGCTGGATTGTCGCATCAGTATACACATTTCTAGGTGCTGTCAGTTCCCTTTGGGGAGTTCCATATGGGAGGAGTTCTGTTTTGGCCCAAAGCTCCCTGTCTTAGATGCATCTCTGCACAGCATTTCTTCCCATCTCCATGGAAAGATTAATATCAGCTCGCCATTTCACATATTGCTGAATTGATAGCACAAGATAATTGGTGATGTCATGATATACACAAGATATTATTTCATTGTCCCCCACATTCTAAAAAATAAACATTAAAATTAATTTTATTAACTATTGTTGTATGATGCAGAAACAATTTTTAAAATTTACGTTAAAAGTCCCATACAGATTCAACATACATATTTCAGACTTGAACTTTAATTCTAAACGTTTGTTAATTTCCTTGTACATATTTTCATATTTCAACATAAGCTCCAGGTCTCATTTCAACATTTTTATTAAGAAAATCAATGTTAATAGTTTTCAAACCCATTCATTCCACAGAAGTTCCAAAAAAGCTTTAAAGAATGCCTGTTTCCACCTGAAGGACCAGACAACACATAAACGAAACTCGCAAGACATGCCATTTTACATACCTTTGTAACATCCGGATTAGACTATGACAGTGCCTACCTCCTGGGGCAATTCTTAAAGACCACCCAGGTAACTCAGCCACCGCAGAATGCAGCCACAGTCTGTTGACTTAAGAATGGGGAAGATTGCAATTGTGTCTACACTGTAACGGCAATTTGTTTATTTAGAATACGATGAAAAATCTTAAAGATGAAATTTAAATAGTTGTCTTCTCTAGAATGTAGCTCAATTGAAGGAACACTTTCACATTCTCTCCTTCATGCCACTGTGTGGATTGTAAAGCAGGACTTGGTCCGCTGTCACGTACATTTACACAGCAGCTCAAGAGCTTCAACAAGGGTCTCATTTAATTTAAAGCGATACTTAAATAAAAATAACACCCCTGTCATTAAACATAACCACAATTGTCTAAATAAGCACATTCAATTTATTTATTTGTAAGTTTAAATAAATAAATATTTAAAGCTTACTAGGATGTGTGATAGGGGTTTCTATGGGCCGTATGGATGTTTTATGTGTAGCTTAGCTAAGGACAAAGGTCAGAGGGTTTGAACAGAAAGTAAACTTTTACTTACATTTCTCTAATAAACAGATTGTAAGTTTTTAGTATACTGATCTTCATTCTCCTCTCTAACGCATTACCTCCTCTGCACAATAGTAGTTAGCGACTAGTTTCTGAACTGGAAAACAGGAATACGGTCTCTTTTAATTTGTTATATCAGTTTAAGATTGCCTCACCACCACCACATGTTTAATAAAGATCCCAGTGCTGTGTCTACAATAAATGGATCTTCGGAATCTGTCCTTCAATGTCAGGTATCAATATGCATGTGCAATTATTGTTCCAGCTCCAACAAAAAGGACACCCAAGGTCAGCATTTCTCGTTTATATGGGGATAGATTTAGCTGAAAATGAATTTAGAAGTAGAGGCTTCATCTTATTCATGTGGTAGAAAAATAATATATTTCATTTTTCTAAAGTGAATCAACCTAATTTTTAAAATGAATCATAGTCCTTTGAGATATTTTTAGCGTAAAATGTGTGTAATGGTGTAGAGACGGGTGTTCTGTTTTGGAGGGGCTAGATTTTGCTGTGAAGTGTTGGAAAAAAGATTTGTCTTATTTAAGTAAGAGACTGGTGAGAAAATAAGTCTCTTTGACAAATGGGCCTATGAGTCCCATCTCAAATCAACAATGAGTTTTGTTCTTATAGATAAAAAGTTGAAAACAAGACCAGATAGAGTTAATTTTATTGATGGCAATAGAAGGGTTATTACTGTTCTATTTTCACCAGGCAACTTATACACAATTAGAGTAAAATTGTTTGTAGAAACAATACATTAACACTATTCTTTGGAATTTAAGGAAATAATTATATAAGGAATTTCAAGGTTATTGATATATGAAAATATTAATATACACAGAAAATGAACTATGCCTTTTTCCTTCACTTGGAGATGTTAAAACATCCTATAACATAATTAGTTAATCCTTCTTTAAAACATGTGGTGCTACAGTGCTCTCTCAATCGGGTGGGCGTATAATATCACTCAAACTAGAACCACTTGAGAGGGAGACTAAGAGCTATGAGTTCCTGAACAAGTTAAGCCAGCATTGCCCCAGGCAAACAAATAATCAGTCGATCTACAAATAACTAGACTCCTCCAAAAATATCCCTTTCCCATAGCAAATAATTTATTTCATTTTTATATTAAACTTAGAAATAGAAACGATGACCCAATATGTCACTCTAATCCAACCAACAATCTTCAAATAAACAAAACAAATTCCCAGATTATTTTTTTAATTTACTTTTTAGAGACAGGGTCTCTCTATGTTGCCCAGGTTGGTTTCAAACTCCCGGGCTCAAGCAATCCTCCTGCCCCGGCCTTCCAAAGTGCTAGGATTACAGGCGTGAGCCACAACGTCCAGCCTACAAATTCCCAAAATTGTTGTTTTCTAATATTCTTTTGCAAGTCATCACCAATAAATATATTGATTCAGGAAGCCAGTAAATTTTTTTAGTTGAATCCAATTTTTATAGGTTAGAATACATATTTTTCAATTTAAAGTATAATTCAGAAATAGTGTCATTGATTCAAATTGTTTCAGAAATTATAAATAAAATTATGAAATAAAAGCAATATCCATTCCTATTTTTAACCAATAATAAAGGTCATTTTCAAGTCATTCAAGACTGTGTTGCACATAATAACTTGAGATAATATGTGTGTGCCTGTGTGCTGTCTGCGTTTGTGGAGGGTGGCGACATGAAAGGGAAGGGAGACTATTCACTCAGATGTTCTTTGAGTATATTTCAAAGGCAAATGCAGTAAATTATCTGCTTTATTGTTTATTTGGGGTATGGGTACTAATTTATATATTACACAATTTACATATATGTAAATAACCTGATATAACAGAAGGAGCTTGGGTTTTGAACTAAGATGGAACTGAATTTGAATCCCAGTACAATCACTTATTTTTATGACTTAAAATTGCTAAAACTTCCTCATTTTTCTAGTTTGTAAAATGAGGCCTATGATTCCTGTTATGGAGGGTTGTTTTGAAGATTGGTGAAACTGAGCCAGTGCCTGACTCACAGTAGGCATTTATTAAGTAATTATGTTGTGTTACTCAATTTTTGAAACATAATAAAATATACTTTGCTAAACAAAATTTAACTTTACTCAAATGATTCAGAAACATTTCAGAGTCTTATAATATTTTGAAAAGTATTGTTATAACCATTCACTTTTAATACACTATAGTTTTCAATTCCAGCTTGAAAATATGATTTGAAAAGAGAATGCTAGAAAGGTCTTATTTCATTGTTTAACAATTATGGATAATTCTGTATTGAGAACAAATAACAAAGGGAAGAGTGAGTTTCATTAAAACATCCAGGCCTTTCTCCTTAGTTTCATGGTAGATAGAACTGAACTGGGAATCAGTAGAAATTGGTTACAATCATTTGTATAACCTTGGGCAAATTAAAAATCTTTTCTGAGTCTTATTTCCCCCATATAGAAAATGAAGCCTTTAAATAGTCAATCTTTTAGGCCCTTTTTATCATAAACTTGATTGTTTTTATTACTTTTATTTTCAAGAAACAAATCAGAATAAATTTCAAAACTATTATTTTCTAAGTCTTCAAAAGACAACTATTTCTGCCAATTGCTGGGAGCAACAGGGAAATAACCAACAGCTTGAAACACAACTGATAAAAGGGTATTCATTTACCTTCTGCATTTTTTTCTATGAAATCTTGATGGGAGGGTTAGAATTTAGGGCAGAAACATGAGCAATGTATAGCGAGTTGGCAAGAAAGAAAAAAGAATGAGAGAAAGAGAAAATGAGAGAAAAAGAAAGAGAGAAAGAAAAGAAAGAAAAACAAAGAAGAAAGAAAGAAAAAGAAAAAGAAAGAAAGAAAGAAAGAAGGAAAGGGAGAGAGAGAAAAGAAAGGAAGAAAAGAAACCAGGTCAGTCAAAATGGCCCAGACTAAAACTTCTTGATAGAAGACTTATCTCTCACCTTCTTGCTCAAAAAATTTAAGGGTCGTTGGTACAACCTTTCCACATGTGCTGCATTCCACCCCTGCTAAAATCCTGCCTTTCGTGTTGAATTCAAACCTCTTCAGGAAATGATCCAGGGTGTAAAAGGAAGATAGTCTACGATTTTGCCCTCATTTCCTGCAGAAAGCATTTAGATGTTTGTTAGGGAATATACATATAAATATACATATATATGTGGGTGTATATACGTGTGTGTGTATATGTGTGTGTGTGTGTGTGTGTGTGTGTGTGTATATATATATATAAAACATTCTACTTTAAAAAAGAAAATACAGGTTTCAAAAAAAACCCTATTCAATCACAAACACATTGCAGTCAGTAGCTATGCTTCAGACTACAAATCATAGTGAAAGCCAGCTTCTATCTATCTATGTAACCCATAAAATGCCTTTTTAACTCAATATTGTTAGCAGCATTCTATTCCAGATTTGAAAGGATTTCCCTATTATTTTCTACCCAAAAGATTAAGTATTAATTAATGACCCCCAAAATAGGTACTGCCTTGTTTGTTAAGGAGACCTGTCTTACACTTTCCTAACATTATAGCCAGATTTCACGGTCACAGGAAAACAAAACACACATAATGGAGTGGTTATTAATTCAATAAATCCAGCAGCTCTTGTGCTCTGGGCAAAAGGCAAAGTTAAAAGCAGCTGTTCATTGACGACATATGGGACATGGTCAGGGTGAGGTAGCTGCTTTAGCACATCATCCACCACTTTTAAGGCTGACTGCACTCAATTTCTTAGACAATCTACACACCGTTTTCAGTTCTGTACCTCCATAATTTATCACAACAATACCTCAAGCACACAGATCGGAGGGGGAAAATGAAAGCAATTTACAGTATCAAGATGAAAGTAGCTGGGTGGATGGAGAAGACCTACTATGTAAATCATACCCACAACTTCAAGGAATGTTGACATAATATTCTGGAATTAATTTTTCCAGCATTCCTTTGTAGGTCACACAAAGGTAAATCTACTTTCTCCTCCCTACCTCTTATATCTGGAGTTGTTTATCAATATGTTGAAGAGGAAATTGATTTTACCTCTCCCTTCAACAGGGACAATAAGAACCTTATGTATAAAAGTTACCAATAACAATGAAAGAAATCAGTTGAGACATTAGCGTGCAATCTTTATATATGTCTCCCAGTTAAAGGTCATAGGAAGACAGCAATAAAAAAGGCAGAGGCACAGACAAATAAGGAATAGCAATCTATTTGAAATAGTAGTCTCAATTATCATAGCCTAATCTCATTCTGTCTGCCCTTAAAATATGTCTGTAAAATCTTCCTCAGATTCACATCAGTAAACTACATTTATGACGTTTAAACATCTTACTATAGAGCTTTAGGATGTGAAACTTGTACATTGTTACATAATGTGTATTTCACGCAGGAGTCTGTTTTAATATTCTAATGAGAATAGTATGCTGATATCTTCATCAAAAACTAGACAATTAATTATTTTAACACCCCCTCTACCCTTCCTTCTATTTCTTTCTCTTAATGTTCTCAGGGTTGGTTGAAGCAGGACAAGGAAGAGCAGTTACAAGGTAGTGAGAGATATTGCAAGAAAGCCAATGTCTCAGGACAAAAGGTAATAAGCAAAAACCAGGACATGTAAGAACATTCTAGGAATCTGTAGAAATTCTCTGAAGGCATCTTGATTTCCTGAAGGCATGCAAGACCCAGGATCAAGCCCTGGAATATACAAAGTAAAGAAAAAGTAGATCCTCAAAACTAAAAAATACCTGTCAACATATTCATTTATACTTTTCTTGTGCTGTAAATTAAATAAATAAAATACATAATTCTGTAGTTTTTTTGTCTGAATATAAAATTAAATTGTTTATTGCAGACAATTTGAAAAATGCAAAACCCAAGAATCCCTCTTGATCCTAAGAGTTAAAGATAACCTTGATCTCTAGCTCTAGTTCTGGCATCTATTGTTTATTGTGTGAATTACATGTTCACATCTTTCCTCTCTTGATTCATCTTTTGAATGTAAATGTGTAAGAAATCTTTATATATTAATGATGCTAAATCTTTGCATATTATATAATTATAAATATTTCGTTTTTCCATTTGTATTATCACTGTTTATGCTAAGTGCTTAAAGAACATTATTTTATTTATTATTCACAAAAAGCCTTATGTGGTAGTTGCTATATTATTATAATAACAATGATAATAGTTGTTACTATTATCACAATGACTATTTTACAGATAAGAAAATTGAGCATTTTGGGTTAAGTACCTTGTGCAAGGTCATACCTAATAAATGGCAGAGTGGTTTTTTAAACCCGGATGTGCCTATCTCAAAATCAGTGCTCTTGGCCAGTGGGTATATTATCATTGCAGGTGTTTTTAATTTTCATGTATTTAATCTATCAATCTTATAGATTGTTTTTTTCTTTTCACTTTTATGCCTAGAAAGACCTTCCTCACCCCGTGATCCAAAACAAAGTCATGTCCATTTTTCTCCTACTTAAAAAAATTTCTTCTTCACATTTACTTCTATATCAACTTGCAATTTATTTTATAGTATGTTATAAGACTGTTTCTTTTTCTCACTATGCTTTTAATCAATTAATCTAGGATCATTTATCTAAAAATCCATCTTTTCATTGGTCTTGGAAATAACGATTTATCAATGTTAGTGACTTTACATGTTTTGGAGTCACTTTTTAATTAATTGATAAGATACAACAGAGAAAGTCATCCATTCACCTATTTTTAAAATGCTTTGCCTATAATGCACCTATTTATTTTTCTATAGAAACTTCATAAATATTTGTAAAATTTTAGAAAAACACTAGAGATTTGGAAAGAAATTTACATTAGGTTTATAAATTAATTCCAAGAACAGTATCATTCCCATGACCAAATGTTGACCTCAATGACATGGCAACTCAGAACTCAGTTATTTTTCCTTGTTTATTTTTTATGGTTTTGGTGTGAATCTTTAAATTTGTTAAAAAGCTAAATAAATTGTATTTTCTATTCCACTTTGTTTATTGCTCAAATCAAAATACGTATGCATCTAGGCAGAACTTATTTCTCCTAATATATGCCTTTTTTCACAAAAATCACATTGTTTTGTATGCATTGAATAATTTTATATTTTAATAGATAGTTTAACATTTTTTCAAGTATGTCAATAAGAGGTCATATTTTAAAAGTAACTGAATTTTCTCTCATAAGTGGACATTATAATCACTTATTCATTCACTCAAGTTATTAGAAATGCTCTCTCAGTAAAAAGATGGAATCATTTTAATACCTAACATTAATTGAGTTTGAGATGTGTGCCAGACATTGTTCTAAGAGTTTTACTCATCTAGTCTACTGAATACACTGGTTATCTAAGTACATATTATTGTTACCCTAATTTACATATGAGTGATTTCTTTGCTTGCCCATGCTCATATGGCTAGTAGGTGTAGGGCTACAATTTTAATTCATGCACTGTGATGTTAGAACCTGTGCTTTTAACTTCTATGTTGTCCCTGCCATCTGGAGCTTCACAATCCAGTGTAAAGGACAAGAATGCAAAGCTACATTTCCAACTGAGTGAAAAGTACCAGCTATGATAGGCTTATGATACACACATAAAGCAAGTGTAAAACTACCTGGGGAAGTTCAGAATGACTTGATGGATGAAGTAAATATGAATAGAGTTTTGAAGGATGAGTAAAAGATCACTAGGTACATGAGAGAAAAAATAATAATGTTTTGGGCAGAGCAAACAGTATGTGTAAGGATAGGAGGTAAAAAAGAGCACAGCTCATTTGGGTATAAACATGAGGCAGAGCACTTGTGGGAGGGCAGCAAGAGATGAATCCGGAAACTTAGACAGCACAGTTTTCCAAATATCATTTTGACTTCCCTTAGCAATTTTGCTTAGATGTGAGAAAGGTCTGAACTCACAGTCATTTTGTCACCCCATTGAACATCCTGTATATTTATCATTACTTAACTACTATATGTTATTTATCTAGAAATAATTATATCTGTAAAGAGGCAGTGGCAAAGTGATCATTTGGAGAAAAGATTGAGTACTATCTCTATGAATCCTTCATTGTCTTCATTTTGATGATTCTGTCATTGTCAAGATAGTTCAAATAACAACACTGCTCACCAAGAACATTCACATATACCACATTATTTCATTATCCCAATAGTCCCAGGGGGAAAGAATCATAAACAGGCATCTCTATTTCACCAATGAGAAAACTGAGACTTGAAAATGATGACTTACCCAAAACTAGAAAGTTACCTAAATTACACCGGAACTCATGTTTGCCTGTAAAATATATCAGCAGTCCATGTGCCGTATAACACTAACTCTTACGCAGATATCGAGGAAAATTAGAAGCAAACAAAATACAGCTTACATTAGTTGGCCATCATATTTACTCAGGAGTTAGTACCACAGTGAACTCAGAAGCTGTAAGCACAGTAGGGAAAACCAATACTCTCTGAAAAGTCCTAAAAGTATATGTTGACTGTTGAATTGAAGCTTCAGGATTTTTAACTAATATGTCTCTTATTTCCAGAAGTTTGGCATTCTACATTTCAAGCTACATAGATGTTATAGATTTGAGCTAAGTAAAACCATACTGAACCTCTAGCTAAGTTTATTAGCTGATTAGGAGATACAGAAAGAAACTTGCATTAACATTTTTAGCAATTCCTCCCTAAAACTGAGCATTTAAATACTTTTCAATTTTCTACTGCCTTTCAGAAATACCTCTACCATCTTACATATTGAATCAAGGTAAATATTTGAAATACTGTCTAAAATACATCCTAAGTACATTACTTTATATATAATGTAAAGGCTTGAGAAAAAAATTAAATTTATTTGCTGAATATCTCATAAGTTATTATATGTGTCTAAATCTTATCCTATGGAAAAACTTACATTCCACTATAATTTTACAGAAAAAAAGAAGTTAATGTATTCCTTACCAAAAGTTTTAGTTTATTAATAAGGTCTACCATTCAATAAGTTGACTAAGGTGATTTTTTTTGCAGGTAGTGGGTGTGGGGATGGGGGTTGGCAGAGGAAAGAAGAAATTAAATACCAGGCTATGAGTATATGAACAAACAGTTACATTAACTAACATGTAATACTTATCGGAAGCCAGGTTTCATTCTAAGTGCTTTACATCAGTCATTTCATCATTAATGACACAATGTGGTAGTTATTGCCATTTTACATATCTGGAGAGAAAGAAGCCGAGAGGTTAAGTGATTGCTGAAGGTCTTTGTCAGCTGATCCATGGTGGCGCTGTGATACAAACTCTCCATTGACACTCTACCCTGCTCTCAGGTGAGTAATGAATGATGTGAATACTAAAGTGAAATTTAAAATGCTGTTTTGTAAAATCTTAGAATATTGTATGAGTCTGTGTTTGTGTTACAATAAAGAAATACCTGAGGCTGGGTAACATAAAGAAAAGAGGTTTAATTGGCTCATGGTTCTGTAGCCTATACACAAAGTACAGTGCCAACATCTATTTCTGTTAAGGGCCTCAGGAAGCTTACGTTCATGGCGGAAGGCAAGGGGGAAGCCGGCAAATCACGTGGCAAGAAAGGGAGCCAGAGAGAGTGGGGCAGGTTCCACATGCTTTTAAACAACCAAATCTCATGTGAATTCACTCATCACCAAGGAGATGGTGCTAAGCCATTAATGAACGATCCCCACCATGATCCAAACACCTCCCACCCAGCCCCACCTCCAAAACTGAGGATTATCTCTCAACATGAGATTTGGAGAGAACAAACATTCAAACCATATCAAACATCTTCTGAGGCTAAATAATCTATTAAAAAGTTCTGTCTATGGACATTACAAAGGCTAATTCATGAACTAGACCAAGACAATAATACTGGGGCCACTTAAAAGAAATGTATCCTATTATACAGAAACAATGTTTTAACCACTCACCTAATTACTAACCAGAGTAAATTGTCCATTACAAAATTGGATCTGTCAAGGTTGCTCTATTGCTGAAAGGAATTATGATAAACAACAGGATTTTATTTAAATTACTACTGGTGAGGTGAATTTTCTAGACAGGATGTAGGGTATTTAAAATTAATTTCATGTCATGGTTTAATTCCTAATGAATTTGCTCTTTTGAAAGTCTGATGACAAAGATCACACCTATCTAATATCATTGGGAGTATTAGTCATTGAATTAGTTCATTAAGAATATTACAAAATTAATTTTAATTTTATTATTAGTCTCTCAGTGTATGAATGATTTTTTTAAATTTTTCATAAGCTCCTCCCCACCTTTATGGTGAGGCTTTGTGTCTCCACCAAAATCTCATCTTTAATTATAATCCCCATAATCCCCACATGTCAAGAGAGAGACCAGGTGGAGGTAACTAAATCATGGGGGCAATCTCCCATATACTGTTCTCATGATAGTGAGTGAGTTCTCATGAGATCTGGTGCTTTTATAAGGGGCTCTGTCCCTTTCACTTGACACATCTCCTTCCTGCTGTCTTGTGATGAAGGTGCCTTGCTTCCCCTTTGCCTTCTGCCATGATTATAAGTTTCCAGAGGCCTCCCTAGCCATGCTGAACTGTGTGAGTCAATTAAACCTCTTTCCTTTATGAATTACCCAGTCTCAGGCAGTTATTCATAGCAATATGAAAACAGACTAATACACCACCATTTAAAAATGTTTTGGGTTAAGAATAAACTAGACCTTCCAACATGAAAGAATCATCATATGTATTTTTTAGCTGAATATTTAATAAGATAAGGCTATTTTAAAAAACAAATACCTGTAGTGGCATCTTATCAGTGTTATCAATTCAGGTTGTACCTTTCTTGACACAGGATCGAGCTTATACTTGTAAGAAAATTGCATTTAATGACACAAAAAATGCACAGCACATGTGCTCTTTGCTTGTGTAGTAGTATGTGGAGCTAATAAAAGGAACTTAAGTACATAAGCTGGGACTTAGCTTTCAAAGCTGAGGCAGTGTTTTAGCCAAAGAGGAATGGGCCATCTAAAAATAGGCTTTGGTTAAAATCAGGGTGTTTGGTGCCATTAGTCATGTTTACAAATCATTCATGGAGGTAAAAAAAAAAATCATTAAACCACATTTACTCATAAGACACTGTAACTGTGTTGTTCTATAGGAAAATCTAATGGAACTCTAATACTCAGTATTTAAGTTAAAAAAATATTTTGAGTGTCTATTATATGCTAAGTTCTATATGTGGTGCTAAAGATTGTAAAATGTGATGTCCAGTAAGACATTTAAAGTAGAACCTATGAAGAAACTGAAGCTATGACTTATGGAGAAAGTGGAATGGGAGAATGAAAAGAAGAGGAAGGTATGAAATATGATCTAACATCACTGACTCTTTTTTTTTCATACTTTTGTGTGATTATTCACAAATACATGGCAAAGGTGAAAGAAGGTGTATATCCATTTACCTACCACCTATATTCTAATATTAACAACTCAGTAATCTTAGGGGTCTTAGTTGTTAGAGACTGGGTCACATTTTTTTGTTTGTTTCTTCATAGGTTGAGCAATTTGGGTTGTATTCCAGACATTGTAAAAGTTAAGTTATGAAATCTATAGATTTTATTATAGTCCTCCAAAGAGCATTGATGTTTTTCTTTTAGCAAGCAATTAATTTGATTGGATTCCAACTGCAAATTCCATCTCAGGCAGCAGCTCCAATCTCATTTAAGTTCAGACTTTACTTTTAAAATTTCATTTTAAATTTAAGGCTACTTATTTTTACATGGGTATTATAAGCATAATAGTGGGGGTTGAGCATGTTGTGTACCCATCACCCAATTATTGAACATTGTGCAAAGTAGGTAATTTGTCAATGCCCCCTACCACTACATTTGGAGTCCCCAGAGTCTATGCTTTCCATCTTAATGTCCATGTGTACTATTTGTTTAACTCCCACTGATAAGTAAGAACACGTGACAGTTTATTTTCTGTGTTAGTTCACTTAAGATAGACTATCTCCATCCATGTTGCTGCAAAGGATAGAATTTCATTCTTTTTTATAGTATAGTATAGTATACATAGTATTTTATATTACAGTATATATAGGATAGCTCCATAGTATTCAATGGTGTGTGTGTGTGTGTGTATATATGTATGTATATGTGTGTGTGTATATATGTATGTATATATACTCACATTTTCTTCATCCAATCAGCTGTTGGTGGGCATTTAGGTTGGTTTCATGAATTTACTATCATAAATAGTGCTGCAATAAACATACAAGTGCAGGTGTCTTTTTTGTCTGATGAGTATTTTTTTCCTTTGGGTAGATAGCCAGTAGTGGAATTGTAGTGGAATTGCTGGGTCAAATGGTAGTTATATTTTTAGTTCTTTGAGATATCTCCATACTGTTTTCCATAGATGTTAAGCTAATTTACATTCCCACCAACAGTGTATGAGTATTCCCTTTTCTCTACATCTACTCCAACATCTGTTGTTTTTTAACTTTTTAATAAAAGCCACTCTGGCTGGTGTGAGGTGGTTTTAATTTGCATTTATCTGATGATGAGTTGAGTATTTTTTCATGGGTTTGTTGGCCACTTATATGTGTTCTTTTGATAAATATCTGTTCATGTCCTTTGTCAAATTTTTAATTATTTTTCATGTCGAGTTGTTTGAGTTTCTTGTAGATTCTGGACATTAATCCTTAGTTAGAAGTATAATTTGTCAATACTTTCTCCCTTTCTGCAGGTTTTCTGTTTATCCTGTCGACTATTTCTTTTGCTGTGCAAAAACATTTTAGTTTAATTAAGTCCCATTTGTCTATTTTGGGTTTTGTTGCATTTTCTTTCACCGTCTTCATCATAAATTCTTTGCCTAAGCTGATGTCAGAAGAGTTTTTTCTAGGTTTTCTTCTAGGATTTTTATAATTTCAGGTGTTATGTATAGGTCTTTAGTCCATCTTGAGTTAATTTTTGTCTATGATGAGAGATACAGGGCGGTGCATCATTCTTCCGCATATGGCTAGCCAATTTTCCCAGCACCATTTATTAAATAAGGTGTATTTACCATATTGTGTATTTTTGTTCACTTTGTTGAAGATCAGTTGATTGTAGGTATGTGGCTTTATTTCTGGGTTCTCTATTCTGTACCATTGATTTATGTGTCTATTTTTGTGCCAGTACTGTGCTGTTTTAGTTACTTTAGCCTTGTGGTATAATTTGAAGTCAGGCAATGTGATGCTTCTGGCTTCATTCTTTTGGCTCAGGAGTCCTCTGCCTATTTGGGCTTTTTTGGGGTTCCATATGGACTTTAGGATTGTTATCTCTAATTCTGTGAAGAAATGATGTTAATTTGATAGGGGTTGCATTGAACCCATAGATTGATTTGGGTAATACGGTCATTTTAATGATATTGATTTTTCCAATCTATGAGCATGGGATGTTGTATTTAGTCCATTTTCACATTGCTATAAAGAATACCTGAGAGTGGGGAATTTATAAAGAAAGAGGTGTAAAACTGTTCCTATTTCTCCACATCCTCTCCAGCACCTGTTGTTTCCTGACTTTTTAATGATCGCCATTCTAACTGGTGTGAGATGGTATCTCATTGTGGGTTTGATTTGCATTTCTCTCATGGCCAGTGATGATGAGCATTTTTTCATGTGTTTTTTGGCTGCATAAATGTCTTCTTTTGAGAAGTGTCCTTCATGTCCTTCACCCACTTTTTGATGGGGTTGTTTGTTTTTTTCTTGTAAATTTGTAAACTAGTTCAACCATTGTGGAAATCAGTGTGGCGATTCCTCAGGGATCTAGAACTAGAAATACCATTTGACCCAGCCATCTCATTACTGGGTATATACCCAAAGGATTATAAATCATGCTGCTATAAAGACACATGCACATGTATGTTTATTGCGGCACTATTCACAATAGCAAAGACTTGAAACCAACCCAAATGTCCAACAATGATAGACTGGATTAAGAAAATGTGGCACATATACACCATGGAATACTATGCAGCCATAAAAAATGATGAGTTCATGTCCTTTGTAGGGACATGGATGAAACTGGAAACCATCATTCTCAGCAAACTATCACAAGGACAAAAAAACAAACAATGCTTGTTCTCACTCATAGGTGGGAATTGAACAATGAGAACACATGGACACAGGATGGGGAACACCACATTCTGGGGACTGTTGTGGGGTGGGGGGAGGGGGGAGGGATAGCATTAGGAGATATACCTAATGCTAAATGACAAGTTAATGGGTGCAGCACACCAACATGGCACATGTATACATATGTTACAAACCTGCACATTGTGCACATGTACCCTAAAACTTAAAGTGTAATAATAATAAAATTAAAAAAAAAAAGAAAGAGGTTTAATTGACTCACAGTCCTGCATGGCTGGGAGGCCTCAGGAAACTTACAATCATAGCAGAAGGTGGAGGGGAAGCAAGGCACATCTTACATGGTGGCAGGAGAGAGAGAGAAAGAGGGGGAAACTACCACTTTTAAAACCATCAGATATCATGAGAACTCACTATCACAAGAACAGTCTGGGAGAAACTGCCTCTGTGATACAGTCACCTCCCACCAGGTCCCACCCTCAACAGTGGGGATTACTATTCAGATTACAATTCAAGGTGAGGTTTGGGTGGGTACACAGAGCCAAACCATATCAGATGTTTTTCCATTTATTTGTGTCATCTACAGTTTCTTTCGGCAGTGTTTTGTAGTTCCCCTTATAAAGCCCTTTCACCTTTTTGGTTAAAGGTATTCCTGGGTTTCTTTGTTTGTTTGGCTATTGTAAATGGGATAAAATTCTTAATTTAGTTCTAAGCCTGAATGCTGTTGGTTTATAGAAATGCTACTGATCTACTGATTTTCATGTGCTGATTTTGTCTCCTGAGACTTTACTGAGGTTACTGATCAGTCTGGGAGTCTTCTAGAGGAGTCTTTAGGGTTTTCTAGGTGTACAATCATGTTTTCAGCCCCCAGAGATAATTTGACTTCCCCTTTTCTAATTTGGATGTCTTTTATTTCTTTTTCTTGCATGACAGCTCTGGATAGGGCCTTCCATTACTAAGTTCAGACTTTAGCTGGGCTCCTTGGAATCTGCTCTGAGTATACATGGTTCAGGAGTCAGCCAGAGAGTTAGGGAGAGTTTACATACAGTATATAGAACAGCTCTCCTTTCCAGGGTTCCACTCTCACTTCCTTGTTTTTTCTCAGAACAGTTTTAATTTTACAGAAAAACTGAACAAGAAGTACAGAGTATTCATATACTTGTCCCCCACTCCCCCATACTGCAACACATGTCCTGCAACACATACCACAGGTTTCCTTATTATTAACATCTTGCATTTGTGTGGAACATTTGTTACAATCTATCTATGAAACAATATTGATACCTTAGTATAACTAAAGTTCATAGTTTACATTAGGGTTCATCCCTTGTCTCATACAGTTATATGGGTTTTGCCAAATGCATAGCCCTAAAAATCCCCTGTGCCCTACCTACTCATCAATCT